>NC_000004.12:132557744-132860774 GCF_000001405.40 Homo sapiens
AGCTGATTTGGGGGAAGAAGGGAAAGTGAAATTTCTAGCACATCAGGATTTATGAAGAGAGATTCATACTATCTCAGTAGAACAGGGTGTTCTCTGACTGCTCCCCCTGCAGGTTTCTACTAAGCAGAGTACTCTTGCTTCTAATCATCAAGGTGTTTGGGCAACACTGGGACATGAGCTCATGAAAAGGCTGCTTCCTTCAAGTAGATTCAGAGAATAGATTACTTTAGTGAATGGTTTTGAATTCTCAGCTTCAATGGAAATAGAACATTAATAGCACAATTAACCCTCATGGAGCTCAAATTCTACTTAATTGAGATAGACAATAAATACATGCAAATATGATAAATTAGTAAATCATGATAAGAATAAATCAGGGTGATATAACACAGAAATATTAGGTGAGCGGTTTATATTTGATTGTGAAGAAAGACCTTTCTTAGGTGTTAGTATTTAACCTTCATCCAGAGGACAATAAGGATTCAATTAAGCAGAGGTGTCTTTAGAACTCAAAGGCTGGTAGTGTAAACTTAGTGACAAGTGGTGAAGGGGTATAATATCAGAAAAAGGCACATTCTATTTACATTTCCAGGCCAGGATACAGAATTTGAATCTTATTCTAAGTACCCTGGAAAGTGAGTGAACATTTTAATAAGGTAAATAATGTTATTGGTTAACACTGGAAAAGATCACACTTGCTGAAGTTAACCCAAGGATGAAGGTCTATTCTCTTTTCTTTCCAGTTTCTGTCTTTACTTTTTCATCTTTCCTTCTTTCCTTTCTTCCTTTCTTTTTTACTGTTTCTTTATAATTATTAATAAGACAGATTCTATAAATTTAGTAATGTGACATGAACAAGCTGTATGATTGTTTTTTAAGCTTAAGATATTCTCCAATGCATGTAGTCATCCATTTATTTAACAAATATATATTGTTTTCTCTATGTGAAGACTAGTCTGGACACCACCTGTAGAGTGCCAAATATGAGAGACAATTATCTTTGCCCTCTGAGGGATGAAATAAATAGTAAAAATAAAAAATAACTAAAACATGGAGTAAGAGAATGATAAATGTGAACAAGAAAAATAAAGAAAAGAAGACAGATAAATAGTGCTGGAGGGAAGGGAGGAAGGTTTCAGTTTCATAATGGATTGTCAAAAGGGCCTCAGTGAGAACACAATCACCCTGGCCACTTTGTAAAACTAACGGGAAGGGCAAAGGCAAAAGCAAGGAGAATAGTTATGGGATATTAAATTATCAAGTTAGGAGATAGGAGATGAAGGTTGCTTGGACAACATGTTAGCTTAGAAGAGAGAAGTGGTAGATTTGAGATACATTTTGGAGAAAATTCCTGTAGGATTTGTGGAGGGATTTGGTAATAGATGCAAGAAAAAAAAATGATCAATGATGATCCCAAATTTTCAGCCTAAGCAATATGAAGGAAAGAGTTGATCTTAATGAAGGTGGGGAGAGCTGTGAGAGAAGCGGTTTTATTCATTCACAGTAAGAAGTGGAGGTGAACTGAGTTTGATTTTGAATATGTTAAGTATGGAATGCCTACTAGATATCTAAGTAGAGATGAAATTTAGACAATTAGATGAATGAGTATGGAGACCAAGAGATAAATTTGTATATAGATGCTATTTGAAGTCATGATAAAAGTTGAAATCAGGCTGGGTGTGGTGGCTCATGCCTGTGATCCCAGCACTTTGGAAGGCTGAGGTGGGTGGATCACGAGGTCAAGAGATCAAGACCATCCTGGCCAACATGGTGAAGCCCCGTCTTTACTAAAACTACAAAAAATTAGCTGGACATGGTAGTGCGCACCTGTAGTCCCAGCTACTTGGTAGGCTGAGGCAGGAGGATCGCTTGAACCCAGGAGGTGGAGGTTGCAGTGAGCCAAGATGGCACTACTGCACTCCAGCCTGGCAACAGAGTGAGACTCCATCTAAGAAAAAAAAAAAAAAGTTGAGATCAATAAGAATGTAGAGTAAGAAGAGAAAAATTCAGGAATAGATCCTTGAAACACACTAAAATTTCAAGGTCTGGGAGATAGTGCATTTTGCAAAGGAGAGAGAATGACCAGTAAGTCGGATCCAAATAAAGCAATAAGAATGTTGTGTTTTAGAATAAAAGCCAAAAAGACATGATCAACTGTGTTATTTGATATAAAAGGTAAAGTTTGATTTATACTAATAAATGATAACTGGATTTTTTGACATATACAAAGACATTTGAAAGGAATCCAAAGAATGTTTGGAGAAGATTCAAATAGAGGAAAGCAATTGGAGACATCAACTATACATATCTCTTTTTAAGGTATTTTTTCTGCCTAAAAGAAAGGAGAAGACTCTATGACAGATAAATACATTTTAAGGGATGTTATTTTTGATTTTAGATTTTAGAGGAAAATATAAATATGTTTGTGATAATGGGAAAAAATTATGAGATATATAATAACAGAGAATGCAGGAACAAAAGAGAATAAAAGCTGGAATAATATCTATGCACTGGTAAGTCAGGGGGGAAGCTCTTGTACTGAGGGAGTATATGACCTAACAGAGGAACACAAAAAATTATTTCATAGTAATAGGATAGGCTAAATACATGAACCCAGGTGTGAGTGGGGGAGCTATGGTGGTAGGACGTTGTGGAAATCTTTTTTTATTGGATCAAAAGAGATGTTTTCATCAGTTAAATATGAAGCATGGCTATTCACCTGATGGTAGAGATGGAAAAAACTTAAGATAATTGAAAAAGAGTAGAAAGTATATAATTATTATCAAAGGGAGTGAGCCTGTAATTGGAATAGAGAAATAGAGAAAGACTCCTGGATAAAAAAATTATGAATTTTATAATGAACTTTTCTCTAACATAAATTAGTTGATCAATAGAACAAATTAATATTTTAAGTTAATAATCTCTTTATTGCAAGAGAGTTGCTGAATAAACATATATTCAAGACTTATAGAGAAATACAAAAAAGATTTATAGAGAAATGGTGAGTATGTAGTTAGTAAATTTTAATAATATACATTTTCAAAATATTATACAAGAATATAAAGTGGTCATCACATTGCCTGGCATATAGTCAGAAATCAATGTTAGCTAATATTATTATTATTAGTGTTAAATATCATTATTGATAATACAGTCATTCTAAATATATCTATTTACTTATAATTTCTATAATTATGCCAACTGCACTCGGGGTCATCTTTGTCAACTCCTCTATTTTCCCCAAGAGTGTGACAAATTATTTAATATTTATTGCATTAACCACCTACTTTTTACTCTACTTTCAGCATGTAGGTTTTGGACCTGCAACTGCAAAGTAGTCCCCTAGTTGTTATTATCCCCTTTAGTTACAGCCTCTTCAATTTAGCTAACATATATTGACCAGACATATATTGCTAAATTGTGAATCTATTCAAAATTTACTTACCAAGTGTTTTGCATGGCTTCTATAACCTGCAAAATGATTCCGGATTTCTTTTTATGCTTTTATATTGCCCTATGTGTCTTTTTTCTATCATCTTCCTAAATTGTCCCATTTGAATCTCATACTCAGCAATTCTAAACTATATAAAATAATCAGAAAATACTGCATTCTACTCTTTCTATGCCCAATGACTTCAAAATAATTTCTCCAGATTTAGCTCAAGCATTACCTCCTCAAGGCAAATTTCCTCAATCACAGGTGCTTAATACTCTTTTGAAATCATAAAATAACTCATATTTATATTTATTTATCACTTAGCTGATTTTGAGATTTTTGAGAGAAGAAACCAGATCGTATTTCGTTCTAATTTTCTGTATTTAAAAATATACTGGGAATATTACAGATATAGAATAAACAATTGTGAAAGGAGTAAAGTAACTAATGAATTAATTAATGAGCAGTGTAATCTTTTGAATATTAAAATAAGAAAATACAGAAGCAATAAAAGGAACAAAAGGAAAAGTAATTTATATTACTTTTGGGAAGTAATTTACATTACATTACTCTCAAAAAGTAATATAAGATTATAAAAAATGACTAAAGAATAATTAAAATCAAATCTATAAATAACTATGTTCAATTTTTGGAGAACACTTTTGAATTTTTTTAATTGGGAAACTTTCTATTTAGGAAGAAACAATGGAGCAGCACATTTTTTAGACATGTTAATTAAGGTATTACAATTAGCAAGTTGAAAAAGTAGCTGACGTAGCTAATGACATTAGGGCATCTAATTCAACATACAAATAAAGTAAATAGTCCCCAAAGTATAAATATGATGGATCATGAAATGGCCTGATTAGGCTTAGTAAATACTGTAATCTTGACCTACCACTGAACTGCCAGAGCTACTCAACAAAGCCTTAATTATCAGTATAAATGCTTCTAAAATTATGCAGAGTTAATTGCTATTTTAATAAGTATTTTCAGACCAACAGGTCATTGCACCGATTTTGGATGATTAGTTTAAGGAAATAACACCTTTGAGGAAAACAACACAGTTATTTTTTAAATGGACAAATAAACATAATTGTTATTTGGAATCATGAGAAATAGGTTTTTATGATTTTTTCTTGGGTATTGTAATCATTTTAAAGAAAAACATAGCTGTGATTATACTACTACCTTTGACTTTGTTGTTGTTGTTGTTGTTGTTGTTGTTTGGCGGAGTGGACGGAGTCTCTGTCGTCCAGGCTGGAGTGCGGTGGCATGATCTCGGCTCATTGCAACCTCTGCCTCCCAGGTTCAAGCAATTCTCCCTGCCTCAGCCTCCCGAGTACCTGGGATTATAGGCACCCGCTACCACGCCTGGCTAATTTTTGTATTTTTTAGTAGAGACAGGGTTTCACCATGTTGACCAGTCTGGTCTTGAACTCGTGACCTCAGGAAATCTGTCCGCCTTGGCCTCCCAAAGTGCCGGGATTACACCGCGCCCGACCGTGTTTGTTTGTTTGTTTTTTAGAATCAGACTTCTGATGGTACTGCGTCTGACAGTTTTAGTGCAACCTGATCTCCTATTTCTTTGACTAGAGGATCATTTTTAGAAAGTCCTACAAAGTCTCAAGAAGAAAATGTCATTGTTTTCTTCATTCGTTTGTTTGCTTCTTTTCCATGATGTTACAAAAGTGGTTATGGTTAATCAGCTGTAGTTGAAAACTTAAGTGATGCATTCTGCAATAAAAAGCTTTCAAGACGTTATGTCATTCCAGAAATATTTTACAAAATCTTAGATGAAAGCCCTTTCATGTATCTTTGCATGTCTCTGAGGAACTTCCATTCCACTCAAGATAGACTTTAGCAAGTATAATCAGTCTTTTTCCTCTTTGCTCATTCTCCCCAAGACAGAAAGTATAATTTACTTGACTTTAAATTTTCATCCATTCCGAGGTTTTATAATTTCTAATTCCTATCCATAGAAATATGATCCCTTTTTCTTTGTTTGAGAAAATAAAAATATAATTAATGTTAATTTTAATTAGCTATTGCTAATTTCTTTGTAATGTATTTTAATATAATAATTATTTCCTCATTTCATGAAACTTTTATGCAAAGGCGCTATATCAGTTTCCTACTGCTGCTGTAATAAAGTACAGCAAAATGAATTGCTAAATAAACAACAGAAATTTATTTTCTCACGTTTCTGAAAGCTAAAGTCTGCAGTCAGGATTTTGGCAGGGCCAGCCATGCTCCCCCTGAAAACTGAATGGGAGGGGTCCTTTTTTGCCTCCTCCTAGCTCATGATGGTAGTTGCCAGTTCTCAATATTCTTGGTTTGCAGCTACAGCACTTCAATCTGCCTCTGTCATCACATAGCATTCTCCTTTGGCATCTGTATCATCACATGGCATTTTCCTCTTCTTATGAGGACACCAGTCATAGTAGATGAAGCCCACCCTACCCCAGTATGGCCTCATCTTAACTAATTATATCTTCAATGATCCTGTTTCCAAATAAGGCCACATCCCAAAGACCTGGAGGTTATGACTTCGGCATATGCTTTTAGGGAGCACAGTTGAATCCGTGGCAGGTAAAATGCAATTCTTTTGCGATGTTTACATCTTTTTTACTGCTTCAACTGTTTGATAGAAAATGTTGTGAATTGTGTAAATAAAATTTAAGGCAGAAGTAAAAAGGATTTAGAAACCTCAATTGTTTTTGTTTATGTTTTCATTTAGCTTTTGATTCTAATCTTGAGCATGCTGTAAAAGAACCTGCATGTTTTCTTTTGTTTTGTTTTTTTATTATACTCTAAGTTTTAGGGTACATATGCACAACGTGCAGGTTTGTTACATATGTATACATGTGCCATGTTGGTGTGCTGCACCCATTAACTTGTCATTTACATTAGGTATATCTCCTAATGCTATCCCTCCCCTCTCCCCCCACCCCACAACAGGCCCCAGTGCGTGATGTTCCCCTTCCTGTGTCCATGTGTTCTCATTGTTCAATTCCCACCTATGAGTGAGAACATGCAGTGTTTGGTTTTTTGTCCTTGAGATAGTTTGCTGAGAATGATGGTTTATGTGGCACATATACACCATGGAATACTATGCAGCCATAAAAAAGGATGAGTTCATGTCCTTTGTAGGAACCTGCATGTTTTATATGTCCTGGAGGACATATCCAAATGTCTTACGTTTTCTTTTTCTCTCTTGGGAATGTCTGTAAGTCATAAGTCTGGTCACTTTACATATTCCCATATTTTTCAAAAGCTTTGTTAATTTTTAAAAACTCATTTGAAAATTTTTATCTGACTGAATTAATCCAAAAGACCATTCTTCAAGCTTTGAAATCCTTTCTTCTGCTTGGTCCGGTCACAACTTTTAACTGTGTTTTGAAATTCTTTCTAGAAGTTCTGTTTTGTTTGTTGTTGTTGTTATTGTTTTTTGTTTAATATTTATATCTTTTCTTTCATCTCCTGAGTTGTTTTTCTGGTTTGTGTTTGTTTTAAGCTTTCTCTTGGATCTCATTGAGTTTCCTAACAATCCATATTTTGAATCATTTATCTGTCATTTCAAAGTTTTCATTTTGGTTAGTATCCATTGCTAGAGAACAAATGTGGCCCTTTGGGGGTGTCACAACATTCTGTTTCTTCTTGGTGCTGGAGATGTTTTGCTGGCTCCTTCTCATCTGTACAAGCTGTCACTTCTTTTTATTGAATTTACTTTCATTTGGATGTGATTTTTTTTCCCTCTTGAGGGTGTGACTGTAGAGTATTTTGGGTAGGAATTTTGGCTCTGCTTTTATAGCCATGTGCAGTTCTGTTGTCAGATTTTACATTGGGTCATGCAGTTCAACCTGCAAGCCAGTAGGTAGCACTTGTGCGTAAAACCAGCTGTGGCAAAAGCATATAGGTATGTGCTTGATCTGGTTTTTCTGTGAAGTGCTCTCTGTTGTTTCAGGTGATGGGCTGGACAGTGGAATGCCTGGTGCCTGGAAATTCCTGTTCAGCAGGATAGGGGGTAGAAAATAGCTGGGCAAAGCTGGACCTCCTGGGTTACCTATGAATACCACAATGATGATCATGGGCACCACCTTAACAGAGGTGTCTGGGGGAACTCCTGGTGTAATGCACCAAGGTCTCTGTGGGATGTGAGGAGGCTGCACTAGCTCCATGTCTTAGATAGGCAGGAAAGTGATCTGTTTTCCTGTCATACTCCTTCTCCAGGGGTCGTGGCTCTCAGTTCAAATGTACACTGTCATTTATCTCTAGGCCACAGTGTAGCTGACAGCCACAAAAGACACCTGTCCCACAGTTCTCTGCAGGAGTAATTTTGGTTGGAACCTCCTCACTCAGCCCAATAGAGACAGTTTTGTGGCTCTCCTGCTCTCTAATGTGACAATAATGCTGCTTTGTGTATAGAAGGGTAGGGCCTCCTCCTTTTGGTACATGCAAGTGGATATCAGCTGTAGTGATGTCAGCTGGTTGTGCTGGCTGGAGCTGAGACCCTGGGAGGAGTGGGTAAGTGACAGTGATAGTGGACTGGGCTGGGCAAACCTCCAATCCCCAGTCCCCGAGATGCCCCACGAGAGTGTGTACAAGACTTGAGTGAACTGGACTGGGACTGGTCCAGTGAACTTGTTCTTGTGTTCCCAGAATTCAGGTGCTGACTATGATAGGGAGACATGGGCTGGTTTCTAGATCACTGCCAAACTCTCAGGTATGGCAGGCAGAATGCTCTGACAGTGGGAACCCCAGCCAATCACCAGCCTGTGGAGGCTGGTCTCTCAGAAGGGTCTGCAGAATGCTCAGGCAGTGGCAGAGCTCAGGGGGTTACAGAACACAAAGGCAGTGAGAGCCCTAATGTTAGTCACAGGCCTGCAGGGGGTAGGCTCTCAGAAGGGTTCTGGGTGGCAGCTGAAATGGTCGAGTGGGAGAAGAGCAGCTGTGTTGCTTGCCTTTCACTGAATGAGGCGGACCCCCTCAGTTGGTGCAATGGAGGCTGGCAGCTATACAATGTGTGGTCCACTTGCACTTCCCTCCCAAAGGAGTGGCAGTGGATTTTGCTTTGGGGGATATGTGAAGGTGCCCAGTTTCCTATCTCCTAGTTCCAGGAGTTGCAAGGGTGGTGGTAGTGGTGGCTGTGACTATTGCAGGAATCAACAGGCATGTCATCAGTCTCTGGGGACAGGGCTTTCAGAAACACACTGGGCCACAGACAAAATGGACAAGTTGGGGCAGCCCAGCTGTGCAGCAGGCCCAACACTGAAGAAGGGAGGCTCTGTTTAGCAGGGAGCAGCTGAGGCTGATGGTTGTAATGGTGCATGGTCTGCCCATTCCTCCATACTGCAGCTGCAGTATCTGTCTTTGGGGTGTGTGAGAGTGCCCAGCCTGCCGGCTTCCTCCCTGACAGGCAGGCAGCAGTTGGCACCAGGCTGCTCAGGTATCAAAAGTCTATGGGAATCCATGTGGGCTTGAGCAGAGACTCTGCACAGTCTCTAGGCAGCTCCATGTATAAGACTGGAGACCCAGTTTGGTGGGGGGCGAGGCGGGGGATCAAAATGACTCTCCCATGGATAGGATTACACAAGTTCATTGCAGAAGTGTGGAACCCCAGGGTTTTCTTACTTACTCATCTGTTCTCCACATCAGGAAGCTTCTCCCGGTTCCGTGTGGGTCCCAGCTCAGCTGGCTGCCTGGCATTGCTCTCCTCCGCCTTCTGTAATTCCTATCCCTTCTCTGATGATTTCCAGTGTGCCCCCTTAAATGATCTACTTGATCATCTACTTTACTTGATGTGCTAATATTTATTCACTATGTTGATTCCACTCCATTAGAGAGGGGCTCCCACTAGGGGTTACGGGGAGCCCTCTTAAACTGAAATGTCAAGATATCTACTAAATAGTCTTTAAATAAAATATTCAATCTTAGCCACACTGAGGCTGTTTAACTCTTAGCAGCAGCAGTATTTGTATAAATTTATATATTTAAAAAGTTATAATATTTTAAAGGCAACTATTTGGTCTGTGGCAGAAATTTAGAAACTTGAATTATAATTTTATAAGTTACCTAAGTAACATGTATTTACAGGAGCATTGATCAATATAGTTGATTCACATTAGAAATAGTCACACATTAAAGAGAAAACAATAATCAAAATTATTTGCTGTTTTCTCATTGTTTTAGAATTTTGCATACTTTTGAAAACATTTGAATCTTCACTCTAAACAATATTTTCTATTTAATGAAAAACTCAAAAAATATAAGAATATCATTTTAAAGCCAATCAATACTTTAGGGACTCCATAGTTATTCGATATTTAAATAATTACATTTTCTTGCTGTGACAGTCATAACCAAATCACAGACACATTTCTCTACTGAAAAACATATGAAAACCAGATAAAAAGAAAATCCCTCTTCCTAGCAACAAGCATTGTACTAATCTTCTTTAAGTTGCTACACCCTGCTCCACTTCAGTGTTAATGTCCTTCAAACTACAGAACTACTCATATCTGACTGAGCTCAACCATTCAGCCTAATTGAAAAGAAATACAAGTAATCTAAGAAACAACTAAAAAACTTAGTGAAAACGTAACTTGTCATTCTCTTTCTTAATATCATTTCAAAGAGGTATTAAAGCAAATGTAGGAAGCATTTTATTTTTCTTCTGATGTCATCTTTTTTTTCCTCCTCAGAGAAATATCTAACCACCAAAAGACAATTGTGTCTTTAAGTCTAGAAAAACACTCAAAGCCCAGTTATGTATCTCTTTGAAGAATAATTTTCCTATCATCAATTAATCTCATTTGGAAATTATTTTTAAAATATGATTTATGCAAAACAAATCCCCGTTCCCAAAATAACCTGAATTTGAGGTTGTTATGCCACAGCTAGAAGAGAAATTACTTATCAGTGAACTGTGTCAGAATGTCAATGTGAACTGCAGCTTAGATTAGGAAATCTGATGAAGCATAACATACCATGAAAGAAATCAAACATTTTATTGGACTCTTGGGCATTATTGACAGGTTTCTACTACTTTTTAGATTTGTTTTATCCAATAGGAGATCTTACTTCTACAGAGCCCTTTTTAAATATAATAAAATGCTCCATTAAATTAAGGAAAACCCCAAATTTTTTCTCATTAATAAAGTGACATGTAGGGAATTATTGCTATGAAATATTTTGCAATGTTTTAAGGTAATTAAATTAAACTAAATCTTGAAATAAAGGAACAAGATATGTTTTTAAACTATGTAGAATTTATTATTTGAAATTCAGTAAATGTTTCATAAACCTAGTTTTAAGATGATATTTTTACTTCAACTGAGAAAAAAATTGCTACTTTGGCTAATGCTCTATCACTCTGGAAAGCTACTATTTTAATAAATAAATACTATACTAAAAGCTTAATTCTTAAAAGAAACTTAAAAATTGCTTTATTATTTTAAAATAAAAGTTTACCATATAATCTTGTGATGGCTACAAGATTAATTCACACATATTGTTCAAAATATTTTAGTAGGTCTATTCACAAATGAGGATATTAAACAGAAGAAAAACAAATGGAAGACTTGATTTCAAATATAAATTCCAAAGAAGATACTTTCTTCCTTTTAAGAATTCATGCATGTCACTACTTTACCTCCATAGTTTTCAGCTTCCTCCAGGCATTAGAATCACCACTAGAAATAGTAGAAACCAGCAAAAATGTGTGGGCTCCATGCCCAGAGATTCTGATTCTAGTTATTTGGGGTAGAGCTTGGATATTGTACCACTTTATAGAAGTGACCGGAAGAGTGTAAAAATGCACATGGAGTGTTAATAATAATCACTCTAAACAAAGGAAGAAAGCCAAATGCATATGTGAACGTGAGCAAAGGCCCTGTGTGACACCACTAATTTCTAGAGATGTATATGCTCTAAATTCAGAAGTTTCCATTTCAGATGAAGTTAAGATTTTATTAATATCTAGACGTAAATTATGGTAATATTTACGACTTTTTAAAATACAACTGTTACACATAATACGAAAATCAATGAGAGAAATTATAATTTTAGCATCAGTTACAAGTCTGGGGTTTATTTTTAACTTTTCTATCATATGAAGGTCAAAGTTTAGAAACATTTCTAGTTAATATAATAAAAGATAACATTTCTACTACACAGTGACTAAAGAATCATCATTTAAGCAGAGTTGAAAATAAACCTTAGTTGCCCTTTTGAAAAAATGTCAAAATACCTGCGTGACTCAGTTACAGTTCTGATATATTTCATAGCTACTAGATAAAGAAAGTACTTCATAAGACCCAGTTTTTCATAAGAACTCAAAGTACTTCACAGAAGTCCATTGTAAGAAATGAATAGATAATTCACTGCATTCTATATATCTCATATAAAATTTTAAGATAGAATTCTAAATACAATAAACTGATCTTGAAAACATACACTATGCTATATCAAAACTTAGCAAATTAAACAATGTAAGGCTGTGAATAATTAATATTTATTTCTAGAGTTTTGTCCTGTGGGTTATTATCTATAATATATACAATCTAAGTCATTGCAGCTCACAGCCTGCCAGATATTGACATTATTCATTATGTTCTGCTACATAATCATCCTCTTCCACACCTACTTCTTCCACTTCATCTTTGGTACCTTGAACTTCTTTATCAACAGTCATTGTCATCTTTCAAATGTCATCCTCTGTATAGTAGAGTATGACTCGTAAGACATGATTCTCATTGAAAAATGTATTCCAATTGCTAATCATCAACCCTTTTAATACTCAAAGGAACATATAGCATCTTTCCACCCTCAGAAGTTCCAGGAACACAAAAGTAGTTTGAAAGAGTGTTCTGCTTTATATTTCTGCTGCTTAGTGATTATCATAGCGACATTCTTTCTTTGCTGTCAATCTACCTGCCCCCTCTATGCTATTTTTAATTTCTATCCCATAAGAAAAGTGTGGATTAGAATTATATGACTCTAACCTCATTTTATCTGTTTTTTTCTCAACACTTTATTTGAGAAATAACTCAATGGATTCAAAGAGAAATTGTATTATAAAATATGTAAGCTTGGAAACATCTTAGAAATTTGATATCTTTCGAAAGTTTTGGAATAAGTTACTAATGTTTCTAAGTCATGTATTTGAGCATGTTAACATTCTTAGAATAGTTAACAATGATGAACACAGTTATGTGGCCTTTTCCTTCACATCATTATTCTTTTCAACCTTGCATTTCCTTGGAAATTGCCTTCTAACCATTTTATTTCCATTTACACTTATCTTCTCTAGACTCATATATTGCACAGATTATAGAATGTCTCTTTCCAAATCCAGCTGGATAGAACCAAGTGGTTTTCTTTAGTATTAACTATTTCTAGAGTGTTTGGCTTCTATTTGTACAATTACTACTTAAGTGAAATAGTTCATTTTTAACAACTTTCATCGAATGCTAAATGTTGACTGCAGCAGCTCTAAGTGAATCACTACATTTTTTAGCTAAGCCTCCAAGAAATGAAGAATCACTTTTCTTTTAACAGTTGCTTCTTTCCCTCTTTCTCAACTTCCACCACAATACGTTCAGTGTCTTCATCTTCTGCATCTTCCATCTGTGCCACAGGCATATTACACAGGCTTCTAGTGTAAAAATTAGTTTGTGTTTGCAACATCTTGATTATCTTCCTCATCATGTTTCAAGCCAAACTAAAATAATGTTCTACAACTATAGGTCTGTGAGTTGTTTTAGAATAGGATGTATCAGCCTGTCAGCATTGTTTTAAAATAAAAACTGAATTTATGCTTGCATCTTATTTTGGAGAATTCTGCTTTGGTAGAGAGCAGGAAGATTAAAAATTAAGGCTGTACATGTAGCTAGAATATGCCTGCACATCGGCTCCTTATAAGAACTCTAGCACAAGCCAACTGTGAGCTTCCTGGTAGCAAGGTGCTTCACCTTAATGTTGGTAATGACTGGAGACTTGAAGACAAGGGTTGCACAGTGGTGAAAACGCAAAGAATCTTATTTTTGAATTCCAAGGTTTCCTTTCAACACATATTCTTCTTTCATTCTTGAAGTCTGCACTTAACAACAATGCTCTTCCACAAGTTTGAAGTAGTGGAGCGGAAGAATCCATTCAGCATTCTAACACTTACAGTTAAATTAACAATTAACACTTTTAGTTAATGTACTTACTCAGAGAAAACTATCTGTACATGAAGAACAATAATTTTTCTCAGAATAGATTACTAGAACACAATAAATTTCTCTTTATTATCATTTTGTACAATGCAATTTCCAAATTTTAAAAAGTTTTGGTGTATATTTTCTTCCATGATGTGGTAAATTATGAGAACAAGAAGCATCTCTTTTTTATTTACATATATGTCCATTGAACAACACATAGTACTCAATAAATATTTGTTGACTGGCTAAAAAATAATGTAGCTGAAAAAGAGTCTTTAAGATGTATGGTAACTGAAAGTATTTTAATGTCACTGTGTCTTAACCAGTAAAGAGAAGTAAAGTTATGGTAAGGCATGGATCAATTACAGTATGGTCCCTGATGTAATGAAAAAAAGATGTTATCCACACTAGAAAAGAAAAATAAAGGGTAATATTATTTACTAAAAACAACTCTCCTCCTCTAATAATAAGTGAGAAGAAAAGGAGAATAATTAAGATAATACTGGCATTTCAAAATGTACATTTAATAAATTTATTTTTTCTCTGAAATAAGTGAAATTTTTCTGCTTGAATTAAGGGAAAGGTAGTAAGTTATAGATTAATGTTTCCGTAGAAAACCTGAAAATAAAAGAGGAAGAAGAAGCCTTACTAAAGCAGCAATTATGTGGAGAAATTGGAACACTTGTACGTTGTTGGTGTGAATATAAATGGTACAGCTGTAACTGAACCCAGCTTTGGCTACTCACACAAAGGATGAATACTATTGGAAGGAAAAGCAGGTTTAATTGGAGAGCCAGAAAAATGAGAAGATGGTGGACTATATTCACAAAAACCACCTTACATTTTTTAATTTATATGCAGGAGTGGTGCAGAGTGCAGGGTCTCTGTCTTTGTTTCAGTGGCTACCTTGGGTAATTGTTTATTCAGATATACGGTTGGTGTTATCTTGACTTTGGCCTGTTGGTGGTAGACTAATTGTTCATGACTCCCTCTACGCAGGAAAATTCCTGAATCTGGGCTGTGTGCCTGGTTTGCCTCAAGATCAGTCTCTGGAATTCCTTAAGCACGAGCAAAATTAGATAAGGATGCATTCCTGGAGGGAATGTCTAGAGAGGGAAGAAATGACGGAGTGAAAGGAGTGAGAAGGAAGAATATGAAAGTGCGTGATTAATATATGCTTTTTAAGTTGAGGCCCCCAGTTACACAGTCACGATGGAAAACAGGATGAAATTTTCTCAAAAAATTAAAACACTTTCCAACAACTGTTGGAAGAAGTATATATGTTCTCAAATTAGGCACCAATGAAAGAACACAAGAATTATTAAAATTCAAGAAAATATGAGACCATCAAAAGAAACTAATAAAGCTCCAATAATTGACCTAGAAGAAACAGAAATCTGTGAAATAAATAACAAAAAAAAAATCAGAATAATCATCTTAAAGAAGTTCAGGGAAGTCCAAAAAATAAAGACAGCAAATTAAATGAAATTTGAGAATTTGTGAACAAAATGAGAAATTTGATAAAGAAATAGAAACAATTAAAAAAATGAAATCCCTAGATATAAAAGGTACAATAACTGAAATAAAAAATTTATTAGGAATCTTTGACAACAGCCTTGAACAAGCAGAAGAAAGATTCAGTGAGCTTGAAAAGAGGACATTTGTAATTATCCATTAAGAAGAGCAAAAAGAAAAAAGATTAAAAAATAATAAAGACCTATGGAAATCATGGAATGCCACCAAACAAATTTGTCTTTGCATAATAGGAGTTATAAAAGGAAAAGAGAGAGAAAACAAATCAGAAAGTATATTTAAGAAAATAATGACTAAAAATTTCCTAAATTTGGGGAAAGATGACAATACCCAGGTGCAGGAAGCTTAGCAAGCTCCCACAAAATGTACCCCCACAAAAAATTTACCAATATACATAATAATCAAATTATCAAAAATAAAAAATAAAGAAAGACTACTAAAAGCAGTGAAATGTAAGAAACATATCACATTCAAGGCATCCCCAGTCAGCTTTTAACGTATTTCTCAGCAGAAACTCTGCAAGCCAAAACAGAGTGAGACGATATATTCAAAGTACTGAATGGAAAAACTGCCAATCAAGAATACTTTACACTGGAAAGCTGTTCTTCAGAAATGAGGAAGGAATAAAAAGTTTCTAAAACAAGTAAATGTTAAAGGAGTTCTTCACAACCAGGCCTGACATATAGGATTTGTTAAGGGAGTTCTATAAGCTGAAACACAAGACTGCTAATTAAAAACAAAAAAAAATTGACAAATAAAAAGTCAAATGACCTAAGTAATATGTAGACATATTCAGAATTTTTTAATATTTGTAAGCTCAGTATGTAAAGCAAGTTTATCTCTACCATAAGGGTTAAAAACAATTGTAGCTACAATAAATTGTTAAGAGACACAAATTTCCCTCCAAATTTAAATTTTCGTATCAAAAATCATAAAGCGTCAGGGGAGGAAGCAAAAGTGTAGAGTTTCTGTATGTGTAAAGAAAGTTATTGTCAGCTCAAAGTAGCCTGTTATAAAAATAAAATGTTTAATGTAAGCCTCATAGTAATCAGAAAGCAAGATCCTGTAGAGTTGCACAAAATACAAAAAGAAAGAGTTCAAGGCATACCACAACCGAAAACCATCAATTCACCAAGGAAGACAACAAGAGAGGAAGAAAGAAACCAAGAACCTGCAAAACAACCAGAAAAACAATTTTTAAAATATCAGTAGCAAGTTTTTACCTATCACTAATTATTTTGAATGAAAAGAGTTTGAATTTTACAATCAAAAGGCACAGAGTGGCAGACTGGATTAAAAAACAAAACAATCAAATAAACAAAAAAAACCCAAGATCTAACCATATGGTGTCTACAAAATACTTACATTACTATGAATCTTTTATATGTAAAGACACATAGATAAAAAATTAAAAGATGGTAAAACATATTTCACACAAAGAAATGTTAAGAAGAAAGCAGGAGTAGTTGTATTGATATCAAACAAAATGGACATTAAGTAATAAAATATATAAAAAGGGACAAAAAATGTAATTACATAATGAAAAAGGGGTCACTTCACCAAAAGGACATAACACTTGTAAAAATATATGCACTGAATATTAAAGCACCTAAATACATAAAGCAGTTATTAAATAATCTGAAGGAAGGGGAAGTCTGTAATACAATAATAGTAGGGGACCTCAATACCCCACTTTCAACAATGAAAGGATCATCTAGACAGAAAATCAATGGGAAAACATTGAACTTGAATTAACTTTAGACCAAATGGACCTAACACACATATATAAAACATGTGATCCCCAAACACCAAAAGACACATTCTTCTTAAACACATATGGAAAGTTAATCAGGATAGATAATAAGTTAGGACATAAAACAAGTCTTAAAACTTTAAGAATATAGAAATCATATTAAGTATTATTCTGTATCACAATTATATGAATCTAGAAATCATTAAGAAGAAAAATCTTGGTAAATACATAAATCTGTGGAAATTAAACAAAATACTTCATAACAAGCACTAGATCCAAACAGAAATAAAAAGGAAACCAAAACAGTATTTTGAGACCAATGAAAAAGGAAAGAACATACCAAAACCTATAGAATGCAGCAAAACCAATCCTAAGAGAAAAATTTATAGCAGTAAACACCTGTATCATAAAAAATTCAAATAATCTAAACTGACACCACACAGAACTAAAGAAAGAAGAAAAACTGATCCCAATGTTAGCAGAAGGAAAAAAAAAAGATTAGAGGAGAAATAAATAAAATGGAGACTAGAAAAACAATAAAAATATCAATGAAACTGAGTTGGTTTTTTGAAAGCATACTCAAAATGGAGAACCCCTTAGGTAGACTAGGCTAAAAGAGAGACATCAAATTAATAAAGTCAGAAATGAAACAGGAGACATTACAACTGTTACCACAGAAATACAAATGATCATAAGAAACTACTATGAGCACTGATATGCAAACAAATTGGATAACCTAGAAGAAATGGATGAATTTCTAGAGACACAACCTACCAAGACTGAAACATAAATAAATAGAAAATCTGAACATATCAATAGTGAGTAAGGAGACTGAATCAGTACTACAATTCTCCCAAAAAAGAAAAGTTCAAGATGGTCAGCTTCACTGCACAATGCTGCCAAACATTTAAAGAAAAACTAGTAGTAATTCTTCTATAACTGTTACAAAAAATTCAAAGTGGAGGAAATACTTTCAAACTCGGTTTGCAAGGCCAGCATTATCCTGATACTAAAGCCAGACAAGAACACTACAAGAAAATTACAGGCCAATATTCCTGATAAACATGGATGTCAAAATTCTCAACAAAATATTAGCAAACCAAATTCAACAATACATTAAAAGAATCATTCACTGTGATCAAGTGGGCTATTATACCTGGGATTTAAAGATGGTTCAATGTATGCAAATCAGTAAATGTGAAAGCCGGCATTAATAGGATAAAGAATAAAAATGACATGATCATCTCAGAAAAAGAGTTTGATAAAATTCAGCACTCTTTTGTGATAAAAACCTTCAACAGATTAGGTATATGAGGAAAGTACCTCAAAACAATGAAGACCATATGTGACAAACAGGTAGTTAACATCATTCTCAGTTTCTGAAATTTCAAAGCTTTTTTTCTAAGATTGGAGACAAGACATAGATGCTCACTTTCACTACTTATTTTCAGCATAGTACGGGATGTCCTATCCAGAGCAATTAGGCAAGACTAAAAAATAAAAGGTATCTAACAGGAAAGGAAGAAATAAAATTGTCTCATTTTACTGATAACCTGATCTTATATATAGAAAAGCCCAAAGACTACAAAAAAAGAGAGAAATTGTTAGAACTGATAAACTAAGTCAGTAAAGTTGCAGGATATAAAATCAGTGTGCAAAAATCAGTAGTATTTCTATAAGTTTATATAACATGTGAAAAGGAAATGAAGAAAACAATTCAGTTTACAAAATTAAGAAAAAATTAAAATACTTAAGTGTAAATTTAACCAAGGAGGTGAAAGACCAGTATAATATAACCTATAAAACACTGATAAAAAGAAGTTGAAGAGGACACAAATAAAAAATATATATTCCATGTTCATGGATTAAAATAATTAATATTGTGAAAATGTTCATATTACTTAAAAGTATCTACAGATTCAATGCAATCCCTATCAAAATTATAATGTTATTTTTCACAGAAATAGAAAAAAAATCTTTAATTTGTATGAAACTACAAAAGACCCCAAATAGCCAAAACAACCTTGAGCAAAAAGAACTAAGCCAGTGGCATCACACTCCCTAATTTTCAAATATATTATAAAATGATCGCATTTAAAATAGTATAGTATTCACAGAAAAACAAATAGTTTGACAAATGGAACAGGATAGAAAGCCAAAAACAAACCCATATATTTAAGGTCAATTGATTTTTGTCAGAAAAACAAATATGCACTGTGCTGAGTACACACAATGAAGAAGAGACAATCTCTTCAGTGAATGGTATTGGGAAAACTGGATGCAGGCATATAAAATTGGATCCTTATCTAATACCATACACAAAAATCAATTCAAAATGGATTAAAGACTTAAAAGTAAAACTTGAAACTGTAAAACTACCAGAAGAAAACATAGGGATGTATCTCTGTAAAATTAGTCTGGGCAATAATGTGTTTGATATGATCCTGTAAGTAAAAGAAACAAAAGCAAAAAGAAAAAAATGGAATGGTATCAAACCAAAAAGCTTCTTCACAGCATAGAGAAAACAATTAACAAAGTGAAAAGCCAATCCAAATAATGGAAGAAAATATTTGAAAATAATGCATTTGATAAGGGGTTAATATCCAATATATGTGAGAAACTCAAACAACTCAGTAGCAAAAAAAAAAAAAAAATTATAATAATTAAAAAATGGGCAAAGGACAAGAACAGACATTCCTCAAAATAAGACATACAAATGGCCAAGAGGTACATGAAAAGAAACTCAGCATTGCTAATCATTAGAGAAATGCAAATTAAAACCACAGTGAGATATCACTTTACATATTTGGAATGGCTTTTATCAAAAAGATGAAAGGCAAGTATTGGTGAGGATAAAGTAAGAAGTGAATTATTGTACATTGTTGGTGGGAAAGCAAACAATTATAGCCGCTATGAAAAATGGTATGGAGGTTCCTCAAAAAAATAAAAACGGAACTGTCATATGATCCATAATCCCACTTCTGGGTATATAGCCAAAGGAATTGAAATCAATGTGATAAATAAATACCTGCATTCCCACGTTTACTGCAGCCCTATTCACAACAGTCAAGATGTAGAATCAAGCTAAGTTTTTCTCAACAGATGAATGGATTTAAAAATGTGGTATATGTACACCAATGAAATACTATTCAGCCTTAAAAATAGAATGAAGCTCTGTCATTTGTAATAATATGAATGAACCTGGAGGACATTATGCTAAGTGAAATAATCCAGGCACGGAAAATCAACTACCAGATAATCTCACTGATATGGTATGGATCTGTGTCCCCACCCAAATCTCTTATTGAATTGTAATCCCCATTGTTGGAGGTAGGGCCAGGTAGGAGGTGATTGAATCATGGGGGCAGAGTTCTCATGAATGGTTTAGCACCACCCCGTTGCTACTGTATAGTGAGTGAGTTCTCGTAAGACCTGGTTGTTTAAAAGTATGTAGCACCTCCCGACTCTTTTCCTGCTCTGGTCATGTAAGACATGCCTACTTTCCCTTCGCCTTCTGCCATGATTGTAAGTTTCCTGAGGCCTCCTAATAAGCAGAAGCCAATAGGCTTCCTATACAGCCTGCAGAACCATAAGACAATTAAACTTCTTTTCTTTATAAATTATCCAGACTCATGTATTTCTTTACAGCAGTGTGAGACCAACTAATACACTCACTTATATGTGTAATCTAAAAATGTTGAACACATAGAAATAGAGAGTAAAATAATGGTTACCAAATCCTGCAGTAATTCTACTTCTGGGAATATTTCTCAAAAAAACTGAAATCAAGATGTTGAGATGTATTTACACCTATGTTCATCGCAACATTATTTACAATAGCTGAGATAATAAAAAATCTAAATGTCCATTGACAAATGAATAAAGAAAATGTGTTATGTACCTATAATAGGCTTTTGTTTAGACTTAAAAAGGAACGAAATCCTGCCATATGTATCAACATTAATGACACTGGAGGACATTATGCTAAATGAAATACAGCAGTTACAGAACAATACTGTATAACTTCATTTACATGAGATATTCCAGATAGTCAGACTCATAGATAGAACTCCCATTTCCCTTCCCTTACAAACTCTGGCAACCACCATTCCACTCTGCGTAAAGTAGAACCACTATTCTCCTCTGAGTATGAGTAGAATGGTGGTTGCCAGAGTTTGTAAGGGAGGGGAAATGGGGAATTGCTATTGAATGGCTGTAATATTTTTGTTATACACAAAAAGTAGTAACGATCGCTATACAACATTTGTTAAGAGGATAGATTTCATGTTTATTGTTTTTACCACTATAATTTTAAAAACAGCATATACTAATATTATTGCCCAGGACTTTCCTGTGGGACTTGTTATAGAAAATGAGGCATTTAGATAAAGAAGATTAGAGGAATTGAAATCAAAACAAAAAGGAGAGAATTTCTATGTATTACAGTTTTCAGCATATTAATAAGATTGTGAATCTCTAAGAAGCAAATATTATATCTAACATTTACTATTCCTAATAAAAACATAGTTCTCAAAGATTATGTACAGCATGAAAACATTTTCAGTTAAGATAATTAATAAGTAAAAAATAACTTTAGAAACCTATGTAAAAGAAACAAGGTTTTATTTTAAAAAGAAGATAAGAGAATGGTGAATGTGTGATTCAGAAAGATGATAACTTCGTTAAGGAGAAGCTGGGTTAGAGAGATGAGGATCTTCATATGTTTTTAGGAGTTATTATTAAAATGTGAGAATTTTTTGTATGTGGTGCTTCATGGGTATTTTTTACACTTAGATAAATATGAGTTTATAAAATTAAATGAAAAAGAAAGCTAATACATGAAAGAAGGCTAGGCCAATAGCATGTATAGAAGCAAAGATTAAGAATAATCCAAATATGTGCAGGTACAACTAAAAATAATTTAAATAACTAATGTAAGAAAACATTTTACTTCCAGTAAGAATTGTACTCTGGCTGAATCACTTTTAATAATTTCTTGAGATTTGTTGAATTTGTCATCCACTTCTAACAGTTCTAATTTACTAACTCGTGTATTTTTCTGGCCTATTTCTTCCCACCTGCTATGTCTATTTATATGTGTCTTTTTTATGTTTAGTCTTAGTCTTAGTATTGGCAATTGATTTACATTATGTGGTATAGGCCTGACAATTAACTGAGAGCAGGTATTTCCACCACCATGGGTTGGCGGAATAGCAGCAATCATGCTGCCTATTACCTTGTTAGTGCACTATAATGAGTTTTGAAGAAGTCAGTTCCATATTTTAACTCTTTCTTGGACTTTTGGAGCAAATGAAAGACAAGCTCTATCCCATGGGTCTATTGTCAACCTTACAAATGGGAGTTTACAGATTTCTTCTTATCAAATTATTCCTATGGATAGGCATGTTCTGTGGCCTTGGTATGTTCTGATGCTTGTGTCCAGGCACTTGCATATCCCACAGGAAAGAAAAGCCTTGTCAGCTCTCCTAACTAAAGCTGTGTGTGAGCTTTATTTAAGCTCAGCTGACTGCTAAACCCAAAGCCACATGCCTTGGGAAAGGTGGATAAAAGATGGTGCGAATGATGAGTATGAAACTCACAGAAAGTCATTGCTTATATCTTTTGCTTCAGGGAGCATAGTTGACTCACAGCCTCAGATACTGCCCTTCAGGATCCACCACTACCTGCCTGCAGGTAATGCTTCCCCCTTCCACCCCCTGTCCAGCATTCTCTTAGGTAATAAATGAGCATTGCTAGAGGAACCAGTGCAGGCTTCTCCTTCAGGAAGCAAGTCTTCTGTAGTGAGCAAATATGGCTTAATACTCTCATCTGCCTCCCTAAGATTTTCCTAGAACTGTGCTGTGTGCTGGAGATTCTTTCTGTGTGTTCCCAGGTGTTTGGACGGCCTTGTGGTCCAAAGATTTCCCTTCCTACTTCTACACCCTCCCCTTTGTCCTTCACAGCCATTTCCTTAAATAAATCTCAGGAATGTAAAACCTGTCATGGTGTCTTGCTTCTCAGAGGATCCAAACTGACACAACAGGAAAGCAAGTTTTGTACACAATACTGCGCTCACAGAATCTTTGGTATGGCTATAATATCATAATGTATCAAATTATAATATATTCTGACCAATTAGGTTTTATTCCAAGAATATGAGAAACATACCAATGTAATCCATTTCATCAACAAAGTAAAAGAGTTACTGTATGCTCTTATTACTAAGTGTGGAAAATGCATTTGATGAAATTTAACGGCTCTTTTTAATAAAGACATAGACTAGAAAGGGCTTATATAAACACAATAAAAATATTTACTAAGAGACAACAGAAATATTACTCTAAAAAGCACTGAAAGCAATCCAATTAAAAATATGAACTTGTCATGGCTGCCTGTGGTGACTAATAATACCTTTGCCTCAAAAGTGATTGACAGATGCCTACAGGAATATTTAAGGATATAACGTGTAGTAGAAACTTTTAGTATGACATGGCAGCTATGTAGATTATCTTGCTCCTCTCCTGGAAATCATGTAAGGTAGCAAAAATAAAATAAATTGCAGTTTCCATATTCATTGAAACTGGAAGTCAGATATGATTTACAGGTTCTGAAGTATAAGTTACTGAAATCAATTGAATCTTTGCAGATGTCATGCAAGAATAAGTGTGGAGGTTCTTTATTTGGCCCAGAGGTGGCTGATTCAAGAATGTACTGTAAAAATATGCTTCCCACAAGTAAAAGAATCATTCTAAGGGGCAAACACTATATTTCTTATTTTTAATAACCGCATATGTAACCTCATTGGGCTGAGACCACATAGAATATGCTCCCATGGAGACGAAGAGAAGAGACATGGAGAATGGAGAGTATCAAGGGAACTCAGCAGAAAGGGATTTCTAGTCAGAAAAATGCATGGTCTGAATTTAATGTGTTCACTGTGAATTAAAGAATTCCATTTTGCAGTGATTTTGGTAAAAGCAAGAATTCCAGGGTTGGTAGCAAAAGCTCTCTAGTTTCAACTTTGTTCAAGAAATACAGGAAATGGAGTTTCAATGAAAACACAGAGAAGGCTTATTTCAAAAAAACAAAAAAATCTTTCTTGGGTGCTTCAGACTCTAACCTCTCCGTGGTGAATAGAAAATCCCTGCAAATAATTAGTCTAATAAAAACCAATATGTTCAATAATGAGTAACAATATAGTATATGTTAGAACATTATTATAATATTGCTATTAGAGGAATTTAGAAAAGAGAAACAAAACTTTCAAACTGCTAAAGAATTACTTAAACGAAAAAAAGTTCATCAGGGCAATTTGTAAGCATATATTCTTTTATAAAATAATGCACACACACACACACACACACACACAAGTTTGTGCTCACTCCTACAAAGGGAGATCACAAAGCAGAAGTGCAAAAAGTCAAGGAAGAAATTATAAAAAGTTTATGAGTACAGGAAACATAAACTGGTAAAACTTAGGTAAAAATTGAAGAAAAAATAATGCCCTCAAAAGTATGAAGATGAAATTGGAAGTGATACAAGATATAATTCATCAAAGGAAATAACGGTGACATAGAGAATACAAATTTAAAAACAAACTAAAACACAGTTAAATTATTTTGTAAAACTTTTTTAAAGTGGCAATTTTTTAAAGAAGCTTTGAGGGAAAGTTCATTTCATATTTTGTTAGTAGGAGCATAAGTTTGTACAATATCTATGGAGAGCAATATCGTAACACACAAGGCCTAATAAGTTATAAAACAATGTTCCCTACCCTTTATACAGAAAATTTTGCCTCTGAGAATTTATCATACAGGTGTACTTGAAATAATACTGTTCATTGTAACTTCGCTTATAGTGGCAAAATAGTGTAATCAAACTAATTAAATGAATTAAATAAATTATTATATGTTCATACAGTGGGAAATTTCTTAGTTCTATAAACTATCTGACGAATGTCTGAATCCTTTGAAACAGGAAGACTTCTTATTTTAAAAATATTTTTAAAATCTACTCACGGTGATGAATAGTATATGTATTTTTGCTAAAAATAGGAATGGAATCAGAATCTCTCTACTTATATACTTGTGCATACATATTGACATTTTAAATACATTAATATGAAAACCTGAAGGTAGAGGGGCAGACAACTGGGTAGAAATGTCATAAGAATTAATATTCAATATGTAGAATTTTAAATTTGGATTCAAATAACTACATTATATATTTTTAAAGAAGCTAGCAAACTAAATAGAAAGGTAACAATATAAAAAAGGGATATGGGGTAATTTAAGGAGTAGAATGATAAATGTCTGTATTATAAATCTAAATAAACTTTATAGAGACAATTGAAGGTGAAATAAAGTGGATCAATTTGGTACAAACTTTGCAGAAAAACTATAGGAATTTTAGATATTTTCATTCACTTATTCCTTAAACAAATATTTATTGAGTACCTAATATATGGCAAGAATATTTAAAGGCCCTGGTTTTAGATGCTAGCAGTAGTGTGCAGAGGGAGAAGTCAGGGGTGACTAACTGCATTAGTATAAACTATTTGAAAAATGGAAGAGCGTATGCTGATGAGAAATGTCGGCATAGGAAGAAATTGAAGAAGGAGTTCCAATTTCAGTAACTGCTTCTGGGGTGTCATTATAAGACTGAGGTGAAGATCTTAGGTGAAAATTTGGATGTAGTAATACATGATTTTTTTCACATTTTAAAAAATTTGACTTCCAAGAAATTTGTCTTTTAATACATGATAAGACATACTATGCTTCTCAATGGAAAAATTCAATATTTAAAAATGATAACTGTATTTCTACTTAAGCTATAAATATAATTCAGCCCTAATGAAAATCACAGATTTTCGTACAATGGAATTTAAATTTTTTTTCTAAACATAATCTAAAGAGTAAAAGTTTTAAATTGGCCAAGAAATGTTTAAAAAATAGAATTATTATCACAGAAGATATTAAAATATTACAAAATTGTACTTTTTAAAGCACTCTGGACTTGGTGCATGATATGGTTTGGATCTGTATCCCCAGCAAATCTCATGTGAAATTTTAATCCCTGGTATTGGAGCTGGGGCCTGGTGGGAAGTGATTGCATCATGGGGGTGGATTTCTCATAAATGGTTTACCACCATCCCGTTGGTGCTGTTTTTGTGATAGTAAGTTCTTGTGAGATCTGATTGTTTAAAAGTTGTGTAGCACTCCCCTCACTCTCTCTCTTGATCCTACTCTGGCCTTGTGATGTGTTTACTCCCCCTTCACCTTTCACTATGACTGTAAGTTTCCAGAGGCCTTCCCAGAAGCCAAGCAGATGCCAGTGTCATGCTTCCTGTACAGCCTGTGGAAGTGTTAGCCAATTAAACCTCTTTTCCTTATAAATTACGCAGTCTCAGGTATTTCTTTGTAGCAATGGAAAAACACACTAATATAGTGCAGATATGGTAAAAAAATATTTCCTGTAATGGTATTTTACAGTCTTTCGTCAGAGTGTGAATTTTGAGGGAATTGAGTGGGCTGTGAGAAGTGTAGAGAATTAATCTTTTCTTTGAAAGCTTATCTTTCCCTTTTTGGGTAAAATTACCTTTGCTGAGAAAACCCTCAAAATATCCAGCTTTCTGGCAGCATACAACTTAATTTAGGCTGACGCTACTTTGTTCATGAAGGGCGTAATTCTACCCTGTGTCAGATATCTCCTTGCTATAACTGAGTAGTACTGGACTTGAATTTTGTACTCCTACAGTGCTCCTGGTCCAAATACTGGTAATTATCCCATATGAAATTGATTCCAAGTGATGTATCTGCTTTACAGTTTACCTAGTGCCTCCAGCTTGGATCTTCTAGCTGAGAAGATATTAGAGGATCTTGCCAACCTGTGTCATACCTTCTCTCCCATCCTTTTACCTTCTCTCCCATCCCTTCTATAATACATTTTTTTCAAACTTTTTGAAAAATCATCACATGTAGATAGAATTATTAAGTAAATAATGTAAGTTTTATAATATTTTAGTATTACATTACCTATTTTATTAAAAATTTTGAGGAGGCCATTTACACTTGCACGTTTGTCTCTTTTATCTTTACAAAAAAATCCTAAATTAAAATACAAAATGAAACAAAATTCCCACCCATGGAGATGAGAAACTTATTGGGAACTGTAGTAAAGATCACTCTTGCTATGCTTTAGCAAAGAAACTGGTGGAACTTTGAAATTGAGCAAGATGATTTAGGGTGTCTGATGGAAGAAATTTCTAAGCAGCAAAGTGTTCAAGATGGGACCTGGCTTTTTCTAAAAGTGTACACTCATACGCATGGAGAAAAAGATGGTCTGAAGTTGGAACTTATGTTTAAAAGGAAAGCAAGGCATAAAAGTTTAGGAAATTTGCAGCCTGACCATGTGGTAGATAAGAAAAATACATTTTCTAGGGAGGAATTCAAGCCAGCTGCAGAAATTTGCACAAGTAAAGAGAAGCCTAATGTTAATAACAAAGACAATGGGGAAAATGTCTCCAGGGCATTTCAGAGACCTTTCAGCAGCCCCTCTCATCACAGGCCCAGAGGCCTAGGAGGGAAAAATTGTTTCATGGGTCAGGCCCAGGGCCCTGCTGTTCTGTGGAGCCTCAGGACATGGTGCCCTGTGGGCTAGAATGGGCCAAGGCACCGCTCTTGCCAAGGTTACAGAGGGTGCAAGCCCCAAGCCTTGGTGGCTTCCACGTGGAGTTGGGCCTGTGGGTACACAGAAGGCAAGAATTATGGTTTGAGAACCTCTGCCTAGATTTCAGAGGATTTATGGAAATTCCTGGATGCCCAGGCAGAATTCTTCTGCAGAGATAGGGCCGTCATGAAGAACATCTACTAGGGCAGTGTGGAGGGGAAATGTGGGGTTGGAACCCCCACACAGAGTCCCCACTTGGGCATTGCCTGGTGGAGCTGTGAGAAGAAGGCCAGAATGCTAGATCCACTGACAACTTGCGCTTTGTGCCTGAAAAAGCCACAGGCAGTCAATGCCAGCCTGTAAAAACAGCTGCAAGGACTGTACCTTGCAGGGCCACAGGGGCAGACCTTCCCAAGGTGATGGGAATCCACTTGTTACATCAGTGTGCCCTGGATGTCAGGCATAGAGTTAAAGGATATTATTTTGGAGCTTTAAGATTTAATGACTGTCTTGCTGGATTTTGGAGTTACATGGGGCCTGTAGCCCCTATCTTTTGGCCCATTTCTCCCTTTCAGAATGGGAGCATTTACCCAATACCTGTACCCACATTGTGTCTTGGAAGTGACTAACATGTTTTTGATTTTATAGGATCATAAGCAGAAGGGACTTGCCTTGTCTCAGATGAAACTTTGGACTTGAACTTTTGAGTTCATGATGCCATGAGTTAAGACTTTGGGGGACTGTTGGGAAGGCATAATTGATGTTGCAATGTCAGAAGCACATAAGATTTGGGAAGGGCCAGGAATAGAATAATATGGTTTTTTTCTGTGTTCCTACCTAAATTTTTTCTTGAATTGTAATTCCCATGTATTGAGAGAGGGAACTGGTAGGAAGTGATTGAATCAAGGAGACAGATTTTCCCCATGCTATTATCATAATAGTGAGTGAGTTCTCACGAGATCTGATTATTTAAAAGTGTGGCACTTCTCCTTTGCGCCCGCTCTCTTCTGCCACCGTGAAGGATAGGTCTTGCTTCTCCTTCACCTTCTGCCATTATTGTAAGTATCCTGAGGTCACTTCAACCATGCAGAACTGTGAGTCAATTAAACCTATTTTTTTAATTACCTGGTATCAGGTAGTTCTTTATAGCAGTGTAAAAAGAGACTAACACAATCTGATAGTTAATACTAATTTGAGACTTATGGTGCACTTCTGGTTTTGCTGTGGGGTGCTGTAGTCTAAGTAATTGATGACAATTACACAGGTGGCTGTATGTATAACTGACTGAATTCCAATAACGGCCCTGGACACCAAGGCTCATGTGAGCTTTTCTGTGGCAATACTTCACATAATTTGCCACACATTTTTGTTGGGAAAACAAGTGCTTCTGTGTGATTCTGCTGAAATAGAGTGCCTGAATGCTTTTATCTGGTTAATCGTAGGACTTTTCTCATACTTTTTTTTATTTGTTGACTTTATTATGTATCTTTTCATTGTAATATACTATACTCATGATTATAACAGTTCTCCTTAGAGTCTTCTTGCAAATTTTTGTGGCTATTGAGGGTCTTGAGATCTCTCAACCCAAATATATATTCTGTTTTTATTTTCTTCCCTAATTTATCAAACTGTATAATTCGAATGCATATGTAATTCAGATTATAAAGGCTACTTTAATGATCAGTCACTAGCAAAGAGAGTATGGCTTTCATAAATTGGAACTAAAAACTTAGCCAACATCTGAGAAATTTATGTTTTCTAAGCACCATGACAATGGTTTTATATGATAAAGCACTCTTTAATTGTATGTTGTCAAATTCGATAATGTGAAATTATGAAAATTAGATTACTCTCCATAAAGTAGTATTATTAGGCAAAACTGACCCCTACATCCTTCCTTTGAGTAATTATTCTAAACTGTGTCTGGTATAATGTCCCTTGGAATATTGGAAAAAATAATTACAATGAATTTACATTTTGAAGTAAGCTTTTCAAAGATATTTAATGTTTACTTCTGTAACCAAACTATTAAATTTCATTTGTGTTCTTGTACTTTATAAGTAGTATATTGGTGTTATGAATTAGTCAGTGGCATGCCTTCTGAAAATGTATAGAAAATGTGATGTAGCAGAAAAATGTTTGAGCCTATAAGAGAACATAAAAAGTGAAAGAAAATTCTCTATTATTCACATAAATTTACTAGTGGTATTTATATTGAAATATTTATTTGCACATAAGTCCATACAGACACACAATTAAATGTTGATAATCTGATGTATGAATATTTCAGATTGAATCTTCTTTATGCAGTATTAGATTTGCTGTTTATTCTATCTTGTTCTTCTCTATTTGTTTATTGGAGTAACAATTTTGTGAATACCTTCAGTGTAGAAAGTGTTAGAAAAGGACTTTTAAGCCCAAAACAATTACTTCCTTTCCCCTGAGACACCATGACTCAGATGAACTTTAAAAAGACTGTAATTACTAGTTCAGCTTTTCTAGGTAACTCTAACTTACTTTTGTTTTGAAAGGTGACTCAGACCATTTCCAGAAGGGATTCTGGAAGAGATAACTTATTAAGGAAAAATAACTTTAAATAAAATTATGCTTCTGGCAAAATGGGTATTTTATCTTTTATGTGGGTGTGGAAAAACATGTCCCCCAAACTCTAAAGCCAAAATAACATCCAAAAATGTATTTTGTTGATTATTTATTACATTGGTCTCTTTATTTGGTACATAAAACTGGTAACTAAACTTGTGCTTAGTCTTTAATGAGCTAAAGTTATTCTGATCATAATTCAGTTTATATTGATATAAAAAATAGAATCACTTGGTAAAAGAATGGGGATAAGAGTAAAGTTATTTTCTTTCCAAGAACTTGAATCTCAACTTCCAGTACTTCTTAATTTTCAATTCTCTGCTCCCGACGAGTTACCAAAACCAAAATTAACACAATTCAGGGAGACTCTGTAGCCATGTTGATGTCTTCTTTTTAAAACTTTCTTACTTAAAAAGTACCCTTTTGGTGCCTGCATTAAAGTTATTCTTACTAAAGGTCTAAGTAAATATTTAAATTACTTTAACCAAAAGGTATGTCTCATCATGTTTTTGGTACAAAATTAGTTCTCACAGATATATAATTCATCTAGAAGTACTTAATACATTCTTACCAGTATAGCTTTTTAAAAATCAGACTTGTAGGCAAACCTAAAAAATTTTATATAGCAATTTGCTACAGTTCATAATGTTTTAATTCTATTTATATATTCTTTTTTCACAGGACAGAAAGTTAATAAAGTAGCATTTATTTGCTCTATATAAAGTTTCCCAGAAAAGAGCTTGTGCTAGTGCCATATTGTATAAAAACAACTTTCAAATTGCTTCTCAATCCTATCAGACCCAATGTCTATATTTTATAAAAGCTCTATTTAGTGTTTCCTTTATTATCTTGAAATGAAATGCATAAGGTTATAATTTAACTACAGCCATATTTTTAAAATTATTATGCTGCACTAATTGTAACATAATGAGAAATAAAAGGGAAATACATTATATTTCAATGTGTAAATGTCTGGACTGTACTACATAAATGATATAATAAAGTAGTTAGGAGGTTGCATTCATGTGTGTATTAACTCTACATGTAAACTCTACAAATCCAGACCAATAAAGGTGATTTTTGTGTTAATTCAAATACCATGAATAGTGCTTCCATCTGTGATTTAGCTAGTTAAAAATATTTAATAACTTTCCCAACAAAATAGAGTACAGTCATCTGTCCACATATACAGTGATTGAATTTATATTTATATTAAAATAATGTAGATAATATTTTGTGTTTACATATAAATTAGTGTGAGGTTCTAGGTGCATGTAACTAATATCTGGCTTTTCACATATGTGAATGACTGGTTGGATATCCAAGCCGTGCTCGGAATTGGGAGCAAATCTTTGTCGATAACTCAACATATTCAAAGACACCAAGAATCTTTGGTATCTGTTTTGCTACTTCAGTGATTAAAAATCAAAAAGACCATGAGTTTCAAACTCTTCAGATAGTCCCTCAACTTATGAAGTCACAAATTATCTTTTCAAGCTTACTATTTGCTGTGCATTTAAAATTGATTATGAATCAGTTGTCAACACAATTTCACAAATGAGCAATACTTGTTGTATCAGTAAGACAAACCTGAGAATGAGAAGCTCTTCTTTAACTTAGTAGGAACTTCAAAAAACTTCTACATAAAAACTTTATAAAGTTTTTTCCTGGTAAAATGTTTTTAAATGTTACTATTGTCTTGCGTCAATTTGGAGGACTTCAAATAGTATACAAGCAATTATTTATCATGTGTTACAGAATATTTGTTTTCAAATGTAGAAATTTAATCTGACTTCACAAAAATTTTTAGTGTCCTTTAAGATCTTTTTGTTAAGTTATGTAATTAAGTAAAAATCTCACTTATAAACTTAATTACATTGACATTTATTATTCGTTCTTGTCAGGAAATGGTGCCATTATTATTTAACACATTGTTTCATTTTATAAGTAATGAATTTATTATTTATTTATTTATAGAGTCAGAGTCTGGCTCTGTCACCTAGGCTGGAGTACAGTGGTGTGATCACAGCTAACTGGAACCCTCAAACTCCTGGGCTCAAGGTATCCTTCTGCCTCAGCCTCCTGAGTAACTAGAATAGTTGGTGTGTGCCATCATGCCCAGCTATTTTTCTGTTTTTTTTCCTTTGGTGGAAAGAGTCTTGCCACATTGCTCAGGCTGGTCTCAAACTCGTGGCCTGAACTCGGCTTCCCAAAGTGCTGAGATTACAGGCATTAGCCACTGCAGCTGGCCTCATTTTATTAGTTTTAGTTATCGTAAATATTAAAAATATTTTAGAATTTTGAAATTTGACACAATTTAATTATTGACATTATTGATGGATACATTAATATCAATTAATGTGGATTAGCACTGTAGGAGTTTTCTTAGACTGAAAACTTAGTTTTTTCATGGGTTGTAAAAGAAAATGTTGAAATACATTCATGATATGTATTAGTAAATATATGCAATTATTTTAAATCTGGAAAATGTTAGTTCAGATACAATTCTTTTATGATAGCATAAACATAATCAACAGTTTTTTAGGAAAATACATTATCAAGGCACTATATTGTCACATTGAAATAAACAGTATACAGAATATAAAGGCAGTTATGAGATTCTGTATTATTATACAGTATACAATAGTAAAATGCTATTGTTATAATAACAGTTTTGTTATAATAAAATTATTATACAGTGCACAAAAATAATAGAACATAATTAATTGTCAAAACATCAATTAAAAACATCTAAATATTTTGTAGAAAAGAAGCAGGGCTATCTTCTTGATATTTGAGAGAATAGAATCATGTGAATAATGAGGTAAAATAGCTTTTGTATGGTATTTGCTGCATTATGAGGGTGTAGCCAGAGTCCAAGATGGTTCCCAATGATACCTGCCTCTTGTTGTATATACCCCGGTAGTTTGCTCCCATTCTGTATCAGGTTTGATCTGTGTGACCAATAGAGTATGGTAGAAATATTTATAGGTCATTTCTATGGCTAGGCCATGAAAGGCATTGGTCTCTCTCTGCTTGCTTTCTTGGATCACTGGCTGTGGAGAATGCCAACCACGATGTCATAAACACGTTCAGGCAACATGTGGAGAGAACAGTGTGGCAAGGAAATAAGGTCTCTTGCCAACAGCCAGTGAAAAACTGAGGCCTCCTGTTCTCCCAAAAGCCATGAGAGTGAACCAACTTGGAAGTTGCTCGTCCAGCCCTAGTGAAGTCTTCAAATAACTGCAACCCCAGCTGAAAGCTTGACTGTTGTTGAGAGACCCTAAGCCAGAACCACAGAGCTGAGCCACTTCTGGATCACTAGACTTCTGAAACGTGTGAGATAATAAAAGTTCGTTGTTTTACCATGCTTGGTTTTAAGATATTATGATACACAATGAGTAACACATGCAGATGTCCTTCATCTTTATCAAATGACAGTATGCGTGAAATAATCTGAACACAAAAGTGCTCTATGGAGTTCATTAGTCTTTCTCTTTATGCTAAATAGGTACTAAAAATTAAAAGCTTATGTAACTTCAAAAACTATGCTTTCATAACATACATAACTTAGAAATATGATATTAAACAATAAAAATGTGTGTTTCTCAGATCTTAAAAGATCATTTTCAAATATTGAGTTGTATATGATGGTAGAAATTAAAATTTAAAATATTCTGCTATGTAAAAATAGAACAATCATTCATTTACAGAATATGGAAAATATGTATCAAATCATTCTATCAACTGCTCTAATGTCTATAATCTATATTATAAATGAAATAACAGTGGATATCTGTGCTAGTTTTTTGAAAAAGTTTGCTCGAAAATATTTATATCCTCTTTTTCTCTAGAGCACTGTTCCGGGTCCTGGAACAAACCCAATTTTATATCTTTGTTCCTTTTCCCTCCCCAACTGACCTACCATTCACAGGCATATTCTTAAAATACCACTCATATGACTTGAAGCTCAAATACAGTTTGTATTTTGAGAAATCTTTCACATATAATGAGCAGAACAAAAAGATGGTAGCACAAGGTCGATGGCAGAAGAGGGGCAAAGCTCAGCGTTAACAGGGAAAATAATAAAAAATAAATGTAGGCTTGGTGCAAATGCTGGAAATCACATGGTAAAAAGTCGAAGTTATCGCTCAGTGTGAGGAAGGAGGAATTACGAGAGACTCAAATTCCTGAAGGAAATCATGAATGACCTGGATAGGGCTAGCAAAGCATACTTCCAAAACGAGAGGGATGGAGAAGCAAAGCAGCTCATTGGCAGCAATCGCAACCAGTCCCTCCTCATCATGGAGATGGAGAGCGGTGCTTCGGCCAAAGACATGAATGGAACCTTGAAGCTTGCTTTTCCAGACTGATTTCCCTCAAAAGTTTACCATGCTCTTCAAGGGGACAACGAGCCTGAAGAGATCACATGCTTGTGTCAATTACCCCGAAATGCAGCCAACTGGAACTTAAAAACCAGCGAGGGGATGCAACAAGTGTCAGGCTTCAAAGACCCCAAAGGTGGTGGCAAAGACGTGCTCGCCCAGGCCATAGGCAATAACGTGGGATGCCAGCAGGAGGTGCTACGACTGGTCACTGAAATAAGGGGAGGGCCAGCTGCCACTCAGAAGCTCCCACCCTCAGTCGGATGTGTCAGTGCAGCCAGGAGTTCTTCGTTTGTCACAAGGACGTTTGACCTTTGAGACCTTTAAACAGCCCCATCTGTCCTCCTAACCTAACAGTAACTGAAACACGTCTGAGAGCCGTCATGCGACTCAGTGCCCCTTTACTTTTCTACCCTGAGCCCTAGGTGTCAGCACTGCATGTCTGGAACCACTAATTTGGGATTGCTATTTATCATGCTTGCTTTTGTAGATACAGTTCTCCAAGCATGAGGTTTCTGGATCTGCAAGTAGGAACAATTTTTGATGCAAAGAATAAAAGGACCAAGTAAGAAGAAAGAAAGAGAAAGAGAAAGGGAAGGGAAGGGGAGGGGAAGGGGAGGGAAGGGGAGGGGAAGGGGAGGGAAGGGGAGGGGAGAGGAAGGGAAGGGAAGGGAAGGGAAGGGAAGGGAAGGGAAGGGAGGAAGAAGGAAGGAAGGAAGGAAGGAAACAGTTGAGGACCTTTCTTAGGATAATTGAACTTCTTTCACGATAACAGTATAACTCCAGCTCCATGATAATTGCCTTACAATTCTAGTTCTCTAATGTAGGGAATCGAGCAAATGTATAATTGTATATTTTATCTGGTTTTGCTTTATACATTATTAGGTTGAGAACAAAATTCTTTGCAGGTTTTTACATCCTAAACAAAAACAGGGGTCTTTTCTCTAGCTTTGGACATTTCTATGGTAAAATCAAAACGTTCCCTTTACCAGCCTGGGAAGCTGAGCACTGATGCTATCTGCTTGAACTTAGCCAAACTATCTGTCTGCAGAATGGTGGGAGATTTCTTCGTACACCTCAGAATATTTGCCAGGCTTTGGAGTCACAGCGTAGCCTCATTAATGTTTGAAAATCCACCTGTTTGAAATCTCTTCGGATCCCTTGAATGTGGGAGAAGAGGGGCCTGTGAACTCCTAGAATGCCTTCTTTCAGCACTGTTGCCTCACCCTCAATAATTTTTTTCCCTGACAACCTAGAGTTTCTCTTCTTGATTTTTCTCAGCTCTCCTGCTCTGTCCAGATTCATTCTAATAGGTACATTGCACTTGTTAACTTAAACAAAGTAAAGCCCCACAATTTATCAATTTGGAAAAGAAGAGGAGACTTTATTTCTTATAAAGGGTTATATCCTGCAAGTTGGCTATCTCACAGGTGGAGAAGCACAGCCTCCAGCAGAGACCAGAGACAGGCACTTTGAAGGAGGAGGTGTTGGGGTAGAAGCTTTATGCTAAACAGATTGGCCAAACATAAATATTCAACAGGTTACAGGAAGGTCTAGGATTATTCATGAAGGTGGTCATGATGCTTGTGTATTGAACAAACAAGCATGTAATGTATGACTCATGTTCACTTTGGGGTGGAGACTTAACATTTAAATGTATTACATTCAGGACCTATACATCAAAAGGTATTTTCAGGACACAAAGGCCCACAAGTGCACAGTCTCTCTAAACAGGCCAGAGCCATGGTCGGTGGTGGTCTTTTTATCAGAAGAAAGTAACTGAAATCAGTGTCTTGTCCAATGAAAGCTGTAGTTATGGCCAGTAGAACAGGGATTCGGTTAGCGTCTGTGAGCTGGATGTAATTGTTTTAATATTGCTCATCTCCAGGCCAGTGCTTGTTTAGCTGCTAGAGAAAAAGAAAAACATGATGGTAGAACATAGTCATTCTTTAAGTGGAGGGGTGCAGGACTTAACCCTTGCCTGGCATGGACTTAGGTCCTGTTTATAATTTGATGTTGCCACGAAGAGTCTGTTCTGTCAGTCTTATGATCTCTTTTTTAACATTAGTGCTGATCAACTGTATCTAAACCATAAAGGTAGGGGGGGTGTGTATAATGAGGTGTTTCTGACCTCCCGTCCTGTCATAGCCAAGAACTCAGTTTTAAGGTTTTACTGGGGTTCCATTGCCGACAAGATGGTCCATTCAGTCAGTGGGAGGGAGGTGACTCAGATTTTATTTTTAGTTTACACACTTGATGGATGGAGTCTCTTCAACACAGAGTGACCACCTCAACTCTCCTCCATTCTCAGCTTTTGGTGTATTACCACTGAACATTTAATAAACACCTATGAAAACATGTGGCAGGTAAGTGGAGCTTTGGATTCACTTTGTGCCTGAGGCTCTTTGGAATTTTAATCTGTCACACCAGCCCAAGAACAGATATTGAATTTTTCTGAAAAGTTCAGCTGCTTTCATCTTCCTTTGTCACAGAGGCCTTGTGTCTTCTACCCGTAGTTCCACCATAGGTAGAAGTTCCCCCATGAAAGCTCATATGAAGAGCTTTTCATTTTCTGGAATTTATTCCACCTAGGTTTCTTTGAGTCCTCAAACTTGTCATCATTTTAAAGGAAACTATAATTTTATGGCATACTTAGATTGTTAGTTTTTTAATGTGAACACAACCTCTTGCAAATTTTCACATCCAAACTGGAGCAGAACATGTACTTATTTATTTTTAAATTTTTTATGTTTGCATCTTTAACATTTTGGGGGAATTCATTAAACAGTTAAATCTGAGTGAGCCACATGTATTCATAATAGTTTGCAAGGGAAGTGCCTAAATTAAAATGCTGTTTCAAACACTGACTTCTTGGGGAATTTGTTATTGCAAACATATTAGCAAAGCAATGAGCAGAAAAAGTAATGGTTCTATAAAAATAGCAGGAAGCTGTCTTTACTATCAAAACCTTCTATCATATTGTTTTTTTCCAACCACAAAAAAACCCCACACATTTGAGAGGAAAGAAATTATCCCTCCAGATTGAGTCCCAAGGAGGCATTTGCTTTCACCTTTAGGGATCAAACCAAAAGAGGCAATACTTGCATTCTGGAACTTTGCCTCTGGAAGCTATTTTTAAGCTACTAATATTTTATTATCTCATCTTAATTTCTTATTTTTCACACCTGGAATAATTTATTGACACCCTATCTAGTTTCTTATTACAGTCTTCCTTTTATTGAATATTCTTCCCTAATTATATTGAACAAACTAAAACAATATAGCCATAATATTAATTTTCTTTTAAACAAGTCTGCTCTGCATGGCATAAAGATGCCAATGGAGGGGAAGAAACAGTAAGACACTTTAACTAATTAAACTGGTATTTTGTATTAGAAAATATCATTTTTCTAAAATTATATTAGTTCATATTTCTTGATTGTTTACTTCATGCTAAGCATAATTTTAAGTTTATTATGATAGATTAATCAATTAATTCTCACAACAACTCTGTGAGATGATTAATATTGTTGTCATAATCCCTGTTTTACAGATAAAAAAGGATAGGTTAAAATACTGTCCGAGGTCAAAAAGCTACTGTGATACTTAGTTGGTTATTTTAGTCTTCTCTAAGACCTAAAAATGTAACCAATATACTATTCTGCCTTCTTTGATAGATTGGTTTACTTGGAAATAGTAACAGGACATAAGCTGTATGTCTAAGTCAATCATTTAAAAGAAGTGGTAATTACAGACTCACACCTGTAATCCCAGATCTTTGGGAGGCAGAGGTAGGCAGATCACTTGAGGCCAGGAGTTTGAGACCAACCTGGGCAATATAGTGAGATCCAATCTATACAAAAATATTTAAAAAACAAAAATTAGCCAAACACGATGGCACACACTTCTGGTCCCAGATACTTGGGAGGCTGAGGTGGGAGGATCACTTGAACAAGGGAGGTCAAGCCTGTAGTGAGTGATGATCATTCCACTACTCTCCAGCCTGAGTGGCAGAGTTAGAACCTGTCTCAAAAATAAATAAATAAATAAATAAATAAATAAATAAATAAATAAATAAAAGAAGTGGTAAAAGTTGCTTTTGCTTCATTTAGCTTTATTTTAAAATCAGAAATCTATGAAAAAGTAGATTAATTTTGATTTTATAGTTTAATTGGATAATTTAAATTTTACTTTCTGTAAACACAGTTTTGGAAGTAAAGGATCAAGATGAGTTTAATATTCCTGTGAATATGCTAATGAAAATCTGATCATCAGGGTCAAAAGCAACTGGAAATAACTTGGGTAGTTATTCCACTTTGATGGTGGCAGGAGGAGGCTGCAAATTTAGTAGCCAGAATTTAACTCAATAAATTTTCATCCGATTCCTGGTCTAGGGAGTAGTAATCATAACAATAATAATTAGCATGTATTATACACTTCTTCAGTGTGAGATATTGTCCTAAGTATAGATTACTTCCATGTGTTCAATATTGGACAGACAATATTTTCCTATTTAAACTTCCACTTATAAAGAGATGAAATTTATTAATAATAAATATTATAAAAATCAGAACTATATATCAAATATCTATGCTTATGCAGAAACAGGAAAATAAATTCCATCCATTAACCTTTTCAGAGATTTGAATCTATGAAAATTACATGTAGGACTACCTTGGTGAATATGAAGACTTTTCCTTTGAAGAAGGCAAGGTGAATTTGGAGAAGAACTCCATCCTGAGCTGCAAGATCCTTCCTCTAATCATTAATCTAAAGATCATTCTAATAGCACTTTCTAAAATACTCTGTATCTAATTCCCATTCAATAAAATACATTTAATTGATCAGTAAGTAAAATACTAAATTAGGGTATCATATTAGTTCTAGGATACACAGTCAAGTTTAATTACTAATGTGATAATGAAAAAAATACAGTATTAAGACTAGACCTGTTATAGAGTAAAAATCTATAGTTTTGTAATATGGAGTTATAAGATTGGCATATCATTCCTAGTCCTATAACCGACTCTCAAATTAAACTTGTGTAAGTAATTAACCTCTGTGTGACCAAGTTTGCTCATCTGTAAAACAGATGCAATAATTATTATCGCCTACCCTGTAGGCATAGTGTGAGGATTAATGAGGTAATTTTTAAAAGCGAGTTCTTCGAAAGGTATTTTAAATTTATAACATCTTACTATCTGTCCTAGGCTGTTTTCTTTATCTTCATTATATACTTACAAAGTCCAAATGCTTTAAACAAATTTATTTTTTTAACTTTTTGAAATTTTAGATGGACCAATTCTCACTAAGAGAGACCTAGATGCGTGGGAAACTAGAGTTGAAATACAATAATAATAATATAAATATTATTCAATATTTCTGTGATTTTCTTATATCTATATTTTATAGTGAACATTGTTTGGGGAAGTGATTTTATTTTCTGAAAGTTCAAAATTTCAAAAATTTTAGGTTCCGTTTTGAATCGAAAAATTAGATACAGAAGGCTGTTGTTATCTATTTGAAGTGAAGTTTCTCAGTCTCAGCACTATTGACATATTGGACAAGATTATACTTTGTTTTGGGGAACTATCCTGTTTATTGCATGAAATTTAGAAGCAAACTTGGTGTCTACCCACTTGATGCCAGTAACAATCCCCTAGTGCTGAGAATCAAGTCTCTGGATATTGACAATTGTTGCCTACAGGGCAGAATTGCGTTAAGTAGAGAATCACTGCTGTAGAGGACTTAGAGTGAGTGGCTTGTCCAATCTGTGTGGTACAGGCAATTTGAACAGTCTTGAATTGGACAAAAGCACACGTATACACAAGCCCATCGAAGGTGATTGTATTACCTGATTTGCCTAGTATTGTTCTGGTTTACAATTGGTATACTTATATCCAGCCTCATTTACAATTTGTAGCACATTTTAAAATATGCAGCGGAGTATCAATATTAATTTCATGCAGTAAAACAAACCAGGGATGATTTTGTTGGCCTATAGTTTGTAATTCTGGCATCTTTCATTTTTGCGGAGTCTTGTAATGTGTAAAATGTATATGAAGTGAATAGAAGTTTCACTTGAAGACATTTTAATATGAAAAGTATTAATTTTCTTATTCAGTCTGTCCTTTTCTAAGTCAGTGTGACTAACACTTCCCTTACAAGGCTAGTATGCTGAGGTCTATGAAGGGGAGTAGGTATTGCATCCAACAACTTCTTTAGATATCTGATGGTGGTGGGATAATGCTGCAGCCTATGCCAGTCACCTGGTGTACCAGCTAACCATGCTTTGGCAGTGCTATGGCCTGAAATGTAAGCGGAGATTCAAGGTAGTCAATTAATTGGGATTCAGTAGGAAAGGTGGGAACCTATACGTTGACTCTAAGAAAATCTAAAAAAAATAGAGACTGTGGAATCCTACTCCAGATCATATATTTTGTTGTGGTTGGTTTTACCAAATAGTGAAAATCTGCAATAACTGATTTTATTGTGTGACTTTTTCTTTTTATAACTCTTTTAGTGGGAATGAGTGTAAATAAATGAAGCTGATATTTAAAGGAAAAAAAAAGTAATAAATTGTTGAGCATACACCATGCCAGAATATTTGTTGAGTTTTTATGGCAACAAACATGGAGGACATTTGATATCAGTGATCACATGACAATCAGAAAGCAAAAAATTTCCAAAGAAATATCCACATCTACTTGAAGAGTAAGTAGATGTTTTAGCTATTTAAATGTTTCCAAAGATGATACATTAATCAATGCAGCTGCAGAAAGTGCATTTATATAGAACTCTTTGAACTTCAGTTTTCATTGATCAAATAGCTGTTACTCTAAATTACTTTTAAAAATTTTCAATTGCAAATTTCCTTATGCATGAAGGAAATGTGACACAGGGTTTTACAGTTTTAATTCAATTAACAGCAGAACTTACCAGTTAATTAAAGTTAATTTATATATAGTTAATTTTATATCAACAGATGCTTCAAACAGAAAGACACTGAGGTTCAACTCTTAAATTAGAGTTTGAGTTTTTTACCTAATCTTTGGGAAAAAAGCAAAGCTTTTCAAAGTCCATTCAGTTGAAAGTGAAAATAGAGATGCTTTTGGTAAACTTAGTTAAAAAGTAAAATACATAGGTTTTGCTTCACAGTATTTGCTATTTTAATAAAAACAAAAATACAAAGTTTCTGGAAGATAACACCATAATTTTAATAATGTTCATATAAATTAAGAATTATGGAAGCAGAAATATATATATATATTTACTTCTTCAGGAGCAATGGAAAATTATCAATAAATTACTTCATAGAACACCAATAATTTTACCTTTTATAGATTTTGAGTTAGAATTCAAGAAAATAATTCATTTTTTTCAAGCACAAAAGATGTCTTTATTGACACATAGATCCAAAGGACCAGATGCGCTGGTATGGAGATGACATTGAAGATGACTGCCTTTCCTTTTCTTCCTCTTTGATGAGTCATCCTCCTCCCTTAAAGCACAGGGTCTGGGGTCCCAGCCTCCAGACTCAGACCCCTACAACTTGGGACAGAGGAAAGGCCATGATTACAACATTCTGGGAAAAGTCCTGAGCTGGGTTACATGTTCAACTCCTGGGCTAATTGCGGAGGCAGTAGTTGGAGTTCGGGCGGGCAGCGGACCTTAAAAGCAGCACCCATAAATCCTCAGATAACAGCACCCCAACCTCCATCTGTCCCAGCAGAGTCAGCTAAGGAATGGTGGCTGGACCTTTCCTGCTCCAGGAGGCCAGAGCTGTGCTGGGGACCCCAACCTTGTAGGGTCATGTGGCTGACAAAGTGCAGCTATTAATACTTTTTCTGCAAGGGTGGAGAGCCACTGCCGCAGGTGTTGAGGAACTAGTGTCATGTTTGTAGGCAGCTCCCAAGTCTGTCTTTGGCTGTCCTGTGCTTCTCACCCAAAACATGGAGATGTTGAGATTTATATTCCAAAAAGCATAGGATATCATATGATGCCAAAATCACTCTTGTTAGTATTTACCCAAAAGAGGTGAAAATTATGTCATCACAAAAACCTGCACGCAAATGTTTACAGCAGCCCTATTCACAACTGACAAAATTTTAAATCAACAAAGATGTCCTTCAATAGGTGAATGGATACATAAACTGCAGTACATCCAAGCAATGGAATATTATTCAGCACTAAAAAGAAACGAGTTATCAAACCATAAAAGGACATGGAGGAAACTTAAATACATATAATTAAATGAAAGATGTAAATCTGAAAAGGCTACATACTATGTATTTCCAACTAAATTACTTATTGAAGAAAGCAAAACTATGGAGATAACAAAAAGATTAGTGGTTGCTAGGGGTTGGGAGGTGTGAGGGATGAATAGGCATAGCACAGAAGATTTTTAGGGCAGTGAAATTATTCTGCTATAATATTCCCATGGGTAGATACCACAATGGTTAATGCATGCCATTATACATTTGTCAAGACCCATAGAATACACGGTACCAAAAGTGAACACCAATGTAAACCATGGACTTTGGGTAAGAATGGTGTAACAATGTAGGTTCGTCAGTTGTAATAAATGTTCCACTCTTGTGTGGGACATGGATAGTGGGGTAGTTGTACATAGTGGGGACAGGGGGTACATGAGAATTCTCTGTAATTTCCCAACAATTTTGCTGTGAACTTAAAACTGCTCTAATGATTAAGTTTATTAAAACAAACAAATAGAAAGTATGGGAGGATATGAACAAATTAAGTGTACACAAATACTTACAATATTTAATTTTGAAATTTTAATTGCATTTTGAAATATACCAACTTATGTGACATCTTTTGATTGTATGCCAATTTTAATTGAAAAGTTGGTATTTTAATTTTTAAGAAATTACAGTTGTTTTACACTTCTCGGTGTATGTCTTCAATAGATGCTTATGGTATAGTTTTAACGTAGTGTTTTTCTTCTTATTCTGTATTATTTTAATTAGAAATATTGGGGTATGTAGATGTAAGTAGGTACCTTATCTTTAGTTATGAAAAATATGTGTTTTCTAATAATTTCAAAAATTTTAACAATATTTAACAAATGACAGTCAATTAAAATGCTTTCTGAAATACTTTTTGTGATTTTTTAAGAGGAGCTGAGGATAAGATAAAAGTCAAGTTTAAATATGCAAACTTTTTTAGAGGCAATAAAAATTATTATTGAAATAATTAAATATAATTAAAATCACCAGTCTATAGCAAACCAAAACATGAAATAATGTTATAAAATTTGTGGAAAAGAGGTACATAAACTGATACATTAAAAAGATAATTTTACAGAATTCTCAAAATTAAGGTCTGGACAAAACAATACTCTTTCTGGGGATATAAGGAAAAAATGGAATATTATATTATAATGCTCTAATATAATATGTTATAGTTATGGTATTCTAGTTTAATATTATATTTTTATATTATTTCAGTACAGTAATAAAACAAGAAGAATATGCAACGTTTGTGAACTCCTTATTCATTATAATATAAGTTGGAAACTTAGATTATTTATTTTAAATATTTTTTTCTCTAATAATACATTCAATGTTACAATGTTATAAATATTCCTCTAAGCACTGCTTTTGCTGCATTGCACAAATATTGATAATTTATATTACCATTTTTACTTAGTTTAAAATATGTTTTAGTTTATTTTAAGACTTCTTCTTTGACCCATATGTTGTTTAGAAGTGTGTTAGTCAATTTCTAAATATTTTGGAATTTTTCAGCTATTTTTCTATTATTCATTCCTCTAATTTAATTTCTTTGTAGTATAAATCATGCTTGGTATAATTCTTACTTTTTATATTGGTTAACATATGTTTTGTGGTCCATAATGTGGTGTATTTCAGTAAATGTTCTATGTGAGATTGAGAAAAATGTATATTTTGCTGTTATTGGATGAAGTGGTCTACAAATGTCAATGAGATCCTGTTGATTAATGGTGCTCTTCAGCTCAACTATGTCCTTACTGATGATTTTCCCGATAGATAATCAGTTAATGATAGAGGTATATTAAAGATTTCAACGATAATTGCAGATTCATCTATTACTCTTTACAGTTCTGTTTTTCTCATGTATTTTGATGCTCTGTGGTCAGGGGCATACACATTAAGAATTGTATCTTCTTAGAGAATTGATTCACTTATTACGTAATATATCTCTTCATTATAATTTTTCTCTCTCTGAAATCTGCTTTAAGTTTTATTTTAAGATGCAGTTTAATTTTGTCTACCCTAGTAGTACCTTCAGCAATAGGCTTTTTTACTCCTAAATTTATGATCCAGTAAGCTAGTTTTCCCTTTATTAGCCTGTCTCGTCAACATGGAGGGAAGTGGTTAGCCCTCTGACCTAAACTCTCTAATGCATCTAAGACGAGTTGTTGATTTTCAGTTTGTTCACTGTTTTAATTATTGTGAGGATGAGAGTGATGACGTCCAAGCTCCTTACATGCCACACCAGAAAATGAACATAGTATTTTAAATAGATATAATTGGCTATACTTCTAAGGCCCAAATAAGAATGCTTCAAATGATTATGATCTTGTTGGAAAATTATCACGGGTTAGAAAAAAATATATCTTTTTATGAAATCACTTATTAGATTTTTTTTTTTTTTTTGAGACATTGTCTCACTCTGTCACCAGACTGAAGTGCAGTGGCGCAAACTCGGCTCACTGCAATCTCCACCTCCCACGTTCAAGCAATTCTCCTGCCTCAGCCTCCTGAGTAGCTGGGACTACAGGCACGTGCCACCACTCCCAGCTAATTTTTGCATTTTTAGTAGAGACAGGGTTTCACCATGTTGGCCAGAATGGTCTCCATCTCTTGACCTCATGATCCACTTGCCTCAGCCTCCCAAAGTGCTGGGATTACAGACGTAAAGCCACCATGCCTGACCCACTTATTAAATCTTTAGTAAAAGAAGCAGAGCTACTTTTATATAAAATAGAAATAATACATTCAATATTTTAATAATATTTTATAATAAAAATATATTTGCATATAATATTTGAATACCAAGATTTCTGCAATCATTATGTTAATATTCAGAGAAACAATTTATCAAGGCTTAAGATTTTTGGTGGTATCTTCTTCATTTAGACAATTGTGTTAAAGTGTTTTCTTTAAATTTGTTTTGTTCCATATCAAAGAATATCAAATCCACACATTTTATTTTCAGCAAAAGAATACAAAGTTTAAATGAGAATTATGTAATAGGCATACGCAAGTAGAAAAATATAAGGGATGTTTACACCCTGAAAATTCCAATGTAAAATGTAGATGTTAACTTCAAAATATTTGAAAATTATTTCAACAGTTTACATATATTATAAAGAATTTTCAATCACTATGTTACTGAGAGAAATAACATTTTATCTAGATTAAAATACTTTTAAAACAATTTAAATTATTAATGAAAATCTTAAGTCATTTTGGATGGCATTTTATTCTTTCCAATAAATGATACAAATTTCTTTTCTATGTGTCTCCAATTTCTAACTGCCAGATCAATAAATATTTGCAACACTTTTTTTCAAGGTTTTACCATGTTCTTCTATATGTTTAAACCTGAAAACATTTGACACTTTAAAAAATCTACTCTATTAACTATTTGAGATAAAATTTATAAATAAAAGTGTACGCTATGTAATACTTTTCATGTCATGATAAAAAGTTAAATATCTTCCTCTCCAAATCTGATACTCAAAGTTAACCTTTTAGCTAGTCTTATTTTTCAAAGTGGTTGGTGCTACTATATAGTATTTACTTGTAATAAATACAATGAAGTAATCTTTTTCTACATTTTAATTTGAAAATTTGAAACCATAGTATTATGTAGTTATTCATTTCCTCCAAATTTGCTATAGTGCAAAGTTTAGATATGAAAGGTGGCCGTATTAAGATTTTATTTTATTGGGACATAATATAATTGAGAAAAGTGGCAGAGAATAATCATTAATGAAACATCAGACTTAAGAGTACTGATTACAGAAACATATAAGCTTTTAAACTGCATATGTAAATACCAAATTTAAAGTTAATTTAATCTGATGACATAGTAAAAAATTAAATTATAATGTCACAGGAATTGTTGCGGAAATGACTAATTAGATTTGCATATAAAATCTTATGAATAAGTTAACTTCGAAAGAAACGTAATTTGGAAGTGTTTTTCTGAAACGATAAAAAAAAGAGAGGAAAAAAAGATGCTCAAAGTAGTAGATTTAGCAATTACTAGTTAGAGGATAATTTTTTCTTCCTTAGCTTATTGTTCAAAAATATCATATGCGCTAAAACAATCAATAAGGAATGACTATATTATCCCATGATTTGTTCTTAAAAAATGGGGAACTCATTACCAAACAATGTATTTAATAGAGTAGAATAACTCAGGAATAGAGATGTTGAATTGAAACTGATAGTAGTGGTCACCGTATCCATTGATTAATTATGCAATAATATGTTTATTCTTGCAATAGAGTATCAAGACATACCTAAGGAATATTATAGGAACAAACATTTCTTACAACTGGGATACATTCTTCTGAAGATTAGTTATTCCTTTTGTTTGATCTATTTTTTTCCTATTACATGAAACAATTATAATAATATTATTACATTAAGTATGCTTTTAAAAAGATGCATAGTTTTATCCAGCTTTGTTCTAGGTAATTTCTTTCTACCTACCACTTACCTACCTTTCTAACTCTGCAAATGTGTTAAATAAAAGTATGATTACAGAATGATGGGATTTGATATAATTTTTAAAATTTTTGATCATTTTTAGTATTATGTGTTCCTTGGATTTTTAAATATGAACATATAAAAACATTACAATCATATGCAAAAAATGAATACTTATATATACTACATTTTGTAGGCTATTTCCTCCAAATTCAATTTGCAAGAGTTGTCTCTGACAATTTATTTAAGATTTTGTCACTTTTTCCCAAGGATGTGTAGGCACTCAATCTGGCTTCAAATTCTTATATTTTTTCATGCTTTTCTTTTTCTGACCAAAACACATATTAGTCATTGTGATAGGTGGGTCTCAAAGGCAATTCTGCTCTCTGGGATCTCAACTAACAAAAATAATGAAATTGAGAAATCAGACTCTGACAAATTAGAGGTCTTATCCAAGACAAAGCTTTATAATAATTTCAAAGACAAACAGTTAAGAGGCGTGTACGAAGGTAGGCAAGATTTGGGAAACAAATGCTGGCTCCAGAGTTTTTCTTATCTGAATCAGTCATGTGCTTTCCGGTCTGAAGACAAAAAGGTCTCTAAGTGAGGTATGCAAATTGATGCTTCATACAAAGGGTACAATTTATTTAATTAAATAGCTTCATTGTATAAACCAATATGTTAGGAAGAATTATATGCCTCTCCCTCAATGATGTTTCTGTCTTAATCCCCAGAACCTATGAACATAGATTCCTTACACAGGAAAAGAGGCTTTTCAGATGTGGTTAAGGTTAAGAACCTCGAGAAGGGGAGATGATCCTGATTTACCATTGTGGACCAAATATAATTTATGTGGCAAAAGAGTGGGTCAGAGAGGTGCAAAACAAGAAAGACTCTATTCAATTGCTGGCTTTACAAATGAAAGAAGGGAGACACCAGCCCAGAAATGAAGCAGGTTTTAGAAGCTAAAAACAACCTTAATTTTACAACCCACTGTAAGATGAGACCTCAGTTCTATACCTGTAAAAACTAACTTCTGCAAGGAAACTAACAAGCAGGAAACAGATACTGTGCTAGAGCCTCAAAAAGTAATACAGCCTGATAACACCTTGATTTTATTCTAGTGAGACCCATTCCAGACTTGTAAAGTAATAAATTTGTGTTATTTTAAGCAACTGAGTTTATGGTAATTTGTTACCATAATAATAGGAAACAAATACACATGGCATTTCTGGAGACTTTCATCTCATAAATCCAATTTTTGGGCTTATTTTCAATAAACAATCCTTGGCCAAGAGCATCCTTACAAGAAGATACCATAAATATGGACCATGCTTCTAACAAATATTAGTCTCCTTGTTAGCATGCATTGATCATCATATTTACGAGGAAATTAGACAAGATCACCTGCCCTTACCCAGAAGTGTTTCATAACTTTTCTTCCAAGCTCGCAAACTGATTGGAAGTGAGTTGATCTCAGGGCAGTGGCTTTCATTCTTTCTTTTTCAGTATTGTTAGTTTTCAAAAACTCCCTACTTGTTTATTGCAAGCATATAGAATGATAATTTGATATTTATATTGACCTTATTAAAGGTCAACGTTATCTACTGGTGTCTTTAATGTAATTTAGAAATTCATTTTATTCCCTCGTATTTGTGAGCTTTTTATTTTATCATGACTATATGCTGATGTTTTTCATGTTTGTTTTCTTTTTTTGCCTGAATTGGGATGTGCTGTGATTTTCTTTCTTTAACTTATTTATTTTTTCTGTTGGCTATATTAACTTCCTATGAATTCTGTATCAAACTACCATAAATTTAGTGGCTCAAACCAACAAAACTTTATTTTGTCACAGTTCTGGGGGCCATAAGTATGAAATCAGTATCAGTAGACCAAATTCAAAGTGTTCTCTGGGCTCTACTCCTCTAGATGTTCTAAGCAAGAATAAGTTCACTGCCTCTTCCAGCTTTGATAACTGTGAGCATTCCTGCCATGTAGTGGCATCACTGCAATCACTGTCTCTGTGGTCACAGTGCCTTCTCTTCAGTCTGTGTTTAAGTCTCCCTTTGTCTTCCTCTTATAGAGGTACATGAGATTGCGTGTAGAACCCACCTTAAAAATTCAGGATAATCTCCCTATCTCAAGATGCTTAACTAAATCACATCAGCAAAAAACCTGTTTTCATGTAACATAACAGTCACAGGTTCCAAACATTAAGCAGTAGATACCTTGGGTGGAAGGGTGGACATTTTTCTGCCTACTCTATTGGCCTAAGTCCTTAGAGAAGCAGACCAAGATAGGATTAAATGTGCAAGAATTGTTTTAGGGAAAATGTCTTTAGAGAAAATGGGGGAAGGAAGGGAGCCACCTGTTTACTTCATTAGTCAATGCCTCTACCATTTGATTTGTTCTTAAAAAGTTGAGAACTTATAACCAAATAATGAATTAATACACTTTAAATTAATTCATTATTTAGTCATGAGTTCTCAATTTTTCAAGCGTAGTACAAAAATCTTCACACTTCATACATCCTTCCATATGTCCATTCCCATGACTCTATTCCTGAATACCTTGTCTCTAATCATCCAGTTTTGTTTTGTTTTGTTTCCAAGTCCATGAACAGACAGCCAAGTCTTGTGTAATGCCCAGGCATCTAAATGTATGATTACCTCGGGTCACTTCTTACTCACCAAGTGGATGTCCAGGCTCACTTATTGCAGTTCTGCCCATTGGGGAGATCTGTCTTTTCTATTGTCATTACAGGGCAATATCCTCAATAGCATCTATATAGATGTCCCTCTTCCGTGTTTCAGGTTCTCAAGTGTTTCCAACTAGGGCCTGACTTATCTTGTCTGAGCAATTCACCACTTATGGAGCTCTGTAACACTAACAATTAGCTTGTCAGCTCACTGATGTTCAGCCGTAACTGCCTTCTACTTCAAGAGACAAAAGGTTTTCTGTAAGTTATCACAGAGGCCTTTCGAGTTTCCCCTTGATAACAGTCGTTGACTTTTCATAAATCTGTATATCAATAACAACTTGAAAATAACCAGCCAACTCTACTGACATTGTAGCCATTGTACCCACCATACTTTCCAAATACTTGTATCATCATGTTTTTCTCAACACCAGAACATTTTCCCTGCTTGTGGTTGGTAAAGTTCTTACCAAGTGAACTATCACCTGTGTGAAGACGGCCATAACATTCTGCCCCACCTACCCACCAGGATGATGTCCTCTGCCCTTGTCAGCTAGTGAATCAGCCTATACCAAACCTTCATCTTGCCACTTCTTTTCTCAGACCACTTCTAGTACCACTTGTTTTGGTTGGCATCTTTCAATAAGCAAATGCTAAGGTGGAATACATGTAGAAAAAATTACTTTATGGCCAGGCATGGTGGCTCACACCTGTAATCCTAGCACTTTGGGAGGCCAAAGCAAGTGGATCACCTGAGGTCAGTAGTTCAAGACCAGCCTGGCCAATATGGTGAAACCCCATCTCTACTAAAAATACAAAAATTTTCCGGGCATGGTGGTGCACACCTGTAATCCCAGCTACTCGGGAGGCTGAGGCAGGGGAATCACTTGAACTCGGGAAGAGGAGGTTTCAGTGAGTCGAGATCATGTCATTGCACTCCAGCCTGGGTGACAAGGGTGAAATTCTGTCTCAAAAAAAATAAGAAAAAATATAAAGAGGTAGCCAGGGGAGTCTAGGAGGGCCATCAAATTATGTTACAGATTCAACTCTGAGTGAAGAAAAGTGGGAGGGATGAAAGGAAGATACTTTGGGCGGAACATTCTTACATTATAATGCAGCTATAAGAACAGTTCCACAAGGCCATAGGGTATTCCATAACATTCAGACCATGTCCTAGGAGAACTCCATTCCCCAAGAAGGGGCTTCCATGAGTAGCCCTGCTGCATGGAGAGAGCAGCTTGTGGAAAGCATGGCCCTGATGCAAGTGCAGCAATCAATATAAAAGCACTGCACTTGGAGTCTTTGATCAGTTATACATTCTGTAGTTGGAGATCGGAGAGATGCATTCTTGTAGCCACCACATTTGTTTTAAATGCTGAATTATATTGATTAATTTTCAAAAATAAAACTAACCTTGTGTTCTTGGAATAAATGTGCATTACCATGATGTATTTGTTTTCAACTGGATTGCTTTGCTAATGCTCTGTTTCCTTCTAATCATGGAGCACATTTATGTAAAATTATTCCTGAATTATCCTTATTAAGTGTTGGTATCAGGGTTTTGCTCACGTCACAAAATGTGTTTGGAAATATTCCTACTTCTTTTATTTTATGTAAGGGTTGGTGTGACATAGTATTATTTCCTCTTTCAAATGTTTGATAGAATTCAACTGTGAAGTCGTATGGGTCAGAAATTTCTTTCTTCTTTTTTGGAAGGGGTAAAAAGTTTCAATAATAAATTCAATTTTTAACAGATATAAAAGTATTCTAATATTTTATTCCTTTTTGACTAATTTAGAAAGTTTCACCTTTGAAGTCAATGGTCCATTTTTTCCTACATTATGGAATCTATAGTTATGTTTCCTTTTCATTATTGAGTATTTGCAATTGTTTTCTGGATCAATATTGCTATTCATATCAATTTTAGGAATCTTTTTTAGAAAATGACCTTTGACTCTTGGTTTTCTCTATTCTTTGACTTCTATTTTATTATTATTATTATTGTTATTATTTCACTAACAGATTTAATTTTCTCTTCTTCTATAGCTTCCTAATGGAGCAATTTGAGTTACTAAGTTTTAAAGCTCTACTTTTTAAAAATTAGAAGCAGATAAAGCTAGAAATTTTCCTCTTAGCACTGCTTTAGCTGACTCCCACAAATTTTGATATGTTGTCGTTTTATAACTAGTTTCCAATATGTTATAACTTGTATTTTAATTCCTCCTTTCAAATTTTTAATATGGTTTGAAAGGTTTTAATTTATCTTGACATAAATTGTTTAGGAATATGTTGATTATTTTGTGTATATTTGGAAATTTCCTAGATACCTTTGTGTTATTCCTTTCTAATTTAATTCCATTTTGATGAATAATATATTTAATATAATTTTAACTTTCTTAAATTTATTGAGACCCTTTCTTATTACTCACAACTCTATTCTGAGAAAAGAAACATGTACCTTTTAAATGAATGTTTATTCTTGCTTTCATTGAGCATGTGTGATATTCTATATATGTCAATTAGTTTACGTTAGTCAAAAGCATTTACATATACAGTCATGCGTTGCTTAATGATGGGAATATGTTCTGAGAAGTGCAATATTAGGTAATTTTTTTGTTGTGTAAACATCATAGAGTGTACTGACAGAAATCAAGATGGTACAGCCTACTACAAACTTAGGCTATATAGTATGGCCTGTTGCTCTAGGCCACAAACTTGTACAGCATGTTACTGTACTGGATACTGTAGGCAATTTTAACACAATGGTAAGAATTTCTGTATCTAAGCATATCTAAACATAGAAAAGGTACAGTAAAAACACAGTATAAAATATAAAAAAAATTGTACACTTGTATAGGGCACTTACCATGAATGGAGCTTGCAAAATTGGAAGTAGCTCTGGGTGAGTGAGTGAGTGAGTGAGTGGTGAGTGCATGTGAAGACCTAGGACATTACTCCACACTACTGTAGACTTTATAAACACTGTATACTTAGGCTACACCAAATTTATAACAAAATATTGTTCTTTCTTAATAACAAATTAATCTTATATTGTAACTTTTTTACTTCATAGACTTTTTAAATTTGGCCTTTTTATAATAACACAGCTTAAAACACATATTGTACATCTATACAAAAATATATTATTTTATTATATCTTTATTCTATAAACCCTTTTCTATTTTAAAAATTTTTAATTATTTTTTTCTTTATTTGTTAAATGTTATTTTATTAAAAATGAAGACACACACACACATTAGCCTAGGCCTATACAGAGTCAGATCATCAATATGACTGTCTTCTACCTCTATATCTTGTCCCACTAGAAGATGGTCAGGAACAATAACATACTAGAAGCTAACTTGTACAACAATGTCTTCTTCTGGAATACCTCCTGAAGGACTTGCTTGAGGCTGTCTTTCAGTTAACTGTGTAGAAAGAACATACTCTAAAATAATAATAAACTATGACATACAAAACAAATGCTAGTGCACTATTACTTGAAAACAAATAAATAGTATATTAAAGATATGATAATAGGCAGTGGGGTATGTGTATGTGTGTGTGTATATCTACATCTATATACCTATATCTATCTATATATTTCCCCTAAGATCTAAAGGTAAAGTAGAGTCCACTGGGGAGACAAATGTAAAGAACATAATGTAGTCAATGGAAACTTCAGGTTCAATAAAAAATTAGAAAAGTGTAATTCTTATTGCCTATAGACACATTTACTTCTTTGATTCTCAATATCTACAAATATTTGTGAACATAGTCTTCTTCTAAATAGAGAAGGTTATGAAATAAAAGCTTACATTGGAGACATTTTCCAAACACACTTTTCAAACTGATAGTACAAACTAGCTCAAAAATATAAAACTGGACAAGAATTCTATTTCATTCTTAATATCAAAAGTCCTTTCTCACTTAAATGTAACTTACTGAAGCACTTTTCCTTGCATATATCCATGCATTCTCTCATTATGTTAAGCTTATTCCATTAAAAATATTTCAAATAAAATCAGTGATTGCTCTTTGTGAAATGTATGGGAATTAAGACATGATTTTCTAATTTTTATTATTGATAAATATTTTAACAATATTTAATTCAGAAGATATAAAATAGGTTTTAAAATTTTAATTATATTTCACTGAAAATACATTTTACCTTCATTTTTCATCAATTACTCAACCTGTATGTTTTTCTACATATCTAAGCTATCACTTTCTAATACTCTTTGTATCTTACTTAACTAAATAGACTATTACAGGTAAATTTTTAATGCTATTTCCAATCAATAGAATTGCAATGTTAATATCAAACAACTCCATTTAAAAAAATACACACACCTTTAAAACACTGTGCTCAAATATTAAATTACATTTCAACAAAAGCTTTCTGTTTCAGCTGCTTATGTTATAGGAGACTTAACTGAAAATATAGAGATGATAACTAATGTTGAGGGAAATTAGAAAACAACATTATTGTACAATATGTTATAATGTTAAATTAGTAAAAATGATGTTTCTACAGAACTGGGTTTATTAAAAAAACTAATAAATATTGGTATATAAATTTTGTTCATGTAAATTAGTACTCAAATTCACTTACTACCACAATTAACTATAATATTAATGTTAATAATTACTTCTTAGTATAAATAATACACCTAAAAAACACTGGTGAAAATATTTTAAATATTATCAAGGTTTTGCATAATTACATAAAGAGAAATGTGCCATTTTTCACACATCATTACTCCTTGAAATACAACCATATACATTTCTGGATATTTTGTTACTTTTAAATTGACAAAATTGAAGATGTTGGAAGAAAGAAAATTGCAGGCAGAAAATGGTAAACTTCTATAAACTTCTCTAAATCATGCTGTACAGATTAGATAACATATGCAGCCTCGTGAGAATTGTTCAAGTCTATTATATTCTGATTATTATAGTCAAATCATCTTATGATTCATTACAGTACAAGGAGACAGTATTTCAGCAGCTATCAGTATTTCTTTTTCCAGTAAATGGAGTTCCAAACTTGCATTATCCTACATTGGCTGTTTAGGCCTCTTCCCTGGGAATGCAGCTATAACAGGCTCTTTGAACCCAGGAGGACCCTATTGAGTAGCTTCCCTTTATCTACCATTGATTTATATTAAAAATTTTAAATCCTGTTACCTGTTTCTAAACTCTAAAGCCAACAAAACTGAAGAATAGCAATTTGTCTAAAAGAGTGTATGAAATTTAAAAAATTAAATAAAGAACATTAAAAGAAAAAGTAACTTGTCATATAAAATCATATTGTAACTCTAAAATTCAAAAGAGTGTAGTATTTGTATAGGTAGGCACATCACACGAGGAAAAGAAAACGAGGAAGGCTAAAATAGAGTCAAGAATATATAAAAACCTCAATTATGAGAAGAGAGTGAACACCAGTGGGGAAAAAGGATGTTGTATTTGTAATGAATACTGCTAATGTCTCTAAATTTCCTGATTTCTAGACATGCTGCACAGATATGATATTGGGTAGGAGCGAATTAACTTAGAAGAACCCTGCTATAGTAGAGTGGACTCACCAGCATCTCTTCATGAGCCCCATCTCCACGGCTTTCACTTTTTATGAGTGACTGTGAGAGTGGCCTGATATCAAAAAGACTGCTTGAGAACTAGGCAATCTGAGCTTAGGTGTTCATAGTTTACAAAATCAATTGTTAAAACCAGTTGCTAAAGTAACTGTGTCTGTAGACAGTTATAGCCAGTGGTGGAAGCCTGCACACTGGTGCTAAGCGAAGCACAGAATCTCCTGCTAAGCTGCAGTCAAGGCCCTCCTGTTCCAAACAGCTCATTACCAGGTAATCCAAGATATGTTATCATAGAACCATTCTTCTAAATAATGTTTATTATATTTAGAAACACAGAGGGGGAAAGGGCAAAAGCTGGGAAAAAAAACCTTGCATTGCCTGTAATTTACTTAAGTTTTAATATCTGAAATACATAAAAATTAAATAGAAAAAGGCAAATAATCTAGTAGAAATAGATTAAAAGATTAGCAGACAAATAACCTAATTCTTATTAGCAATCTTAGCAAAAAATTGGAACGATTAGGTCAACAGCAATTAAAAATGTGAAAACAAGTGTTGGCTAGGATGTGAAACAAACAAACTGCTAACAGGTACTTAAATCTGTTCAACTACCTTGAGAAACTGAAGATATACATATCCTATGACTCCGACATTTTGTACACATGCAGTGAGGGAAACAAACAAGGATACACATAGACACTTTGTATAATGCAAGCAAATAAAAACATTGCAAATATCTATCAACTATAAAATAGATAAATATTCAGGCAGTGTTCTACGTTAATGTAAGGAAATCAACGGCAGTGATATATGCTGCTATGGACAAAACTTAGGAACTCAATATTGGGAAAAAATAAGTTATAAATGATTCTTTACAGCAAAATCAATAGACAAAATGTGAAACTAAGCAAAATATTGCTTAGGGATAGAAATTTGTGGAAAACTAAAAGTAAATTTACAGGAATAATAACCACAACAATTTTGAAAATGGTTATCTCTGGAGTATAGAGGACAGAAGAATTTGACTAGAAAATGACACAGAAAACCTCAGTTTTTTAAAAGATTATAATTCACTTTACAATTTTATAAAGTGAAGTTGGTTTATAATATTTTCAGAAATAATAAATATATGTTGATGTTTTCATTGTAATTTTGTTTTATTTAATACAATTAGAACACTTTCAGCAAGATTGTACCTAGCTATAGATATATAAAAAATAAATTTTATTCTGTTATAAGTCTAAAATATTATATCACTGTTTAAATGTGATAATAAAAATGTAAAAAATGATACTGCATCAAAATTTGAAAACAAAAGTAGATAAATGGCATGTTTACAATTTTGTTTTGAAGAGTTCACCACCACACTGCAAATTGGAAAGAAAAAGTAAAGTTAAGTTACTAAACTTAGTAATTTTGTCTACATTTTATAGACATTTTCAAATAAAATAGTTTATAACCTTCCCAAATATTCATCTTTTTCATTAAGTCACTTTAGACAGACTATAAATGAAAAAATGTTAATAAAAAAATGCCATTGAATATCTGCCACCTGGTGGAAGTCAACTGGAACTATAAGAACAATTTTTTGTTAATTTTTCTTTCTGGTTATGTTTCTATATCTCCTTAAATAGAATGTTCTGCTTAAAGCAAAAGTGGGAATGAAAAGAGAGGGTGTTTTTTTTTGGTAGCTTCACAGACACTTAAAAATCATTTTGCAGAAATTATATAATCTCCCAAGTGAGGAATGTGGATAGTATAGTATAATTTCTTAAATGTATAATCAATACTGTGCTATGAAAATAGTATAAAGTTGTACAGTGAATTATATGAGAAAAATGGCTATACTCTGTTATAATTGATGCCAAAAATAAATATGTTTTCATTATTATTATTATTACTAACAGACTATAATAGTCATAAGTGTAAGACAAATGTAAATACCAAATAATTACATTTGGATACATTTCAGCCCTCACTTCAGTTCTCAAATACAGAAAAGGAAAGAAACATTGGTAAATAGAATATTATATATACAATAGTATCTCACATATTGTGATATTTGTCTTAGCCTTCATCTTTTGAGTCATCAGTTTTATTTGCACTGATAAAAGAACTTCCAGCCTGCTGATTTAGCTATGTTATTTCTTAATTTTTACTTAAACGGAACTTTATTTGTGTAGTTTTGGTCATTTATATTATGATTCTTTATATTGTTCAAAGTGAACAGTCATGTAAACATTTTTAAACACACATACACACACACACATATATATATCCATATGCATATATTCGACTTGTTGCAATATAGATAGCAAGAAAGGCCATCTATTTCTCTCAGTATTATTAGTTTTAAGGAGGAAATGAGCTAAAGTTACAAGAGTTTCCTTTTTTTTTTTATAAAACTAACTATATAAACTAGTATATAACCTAAAAAGAAATGTTCTATGGATTTTTTAACCCCAAATTAAAATTTCCTGCTTGCAAAATATATTGATTTGGGTGTCTTAAATTAATGCCTTGTTTCTACATAGACTCATTAATCTAAAGTAAAATTATAGTTCACTTAAAGATTCATAGTTTTCCTATATTAAGATAATTGACATGTATAATCTGAAGTGAAAAAAATGGGGAAATAATATTTTATTTCAAAAACATATAGGAAAAGTGATACAGACATATATTCCAGAATACCAAAGCAGTCCAACCTCTGTCTCAGCTAACTCCTCCCTTTATGCAAATTGCTGAGCAATTGGTTTGATTTGTAAAAGCAATGGCAACAAAAGCCAAAATTGACAAATGGGATCTAATTAAACTAAAGAGCTTCTGCACAGCAAAAGGAACTATCATCAGAGTGAACAGGCAGCCTACAGAATGGGAGAAAATTTTTGCAATCTGTCCATCTGACAAAGGGCTAACATCCAGAATATACAAAGAACTTAAACAAATTTACAAGAAACAAACAACCCCATCAAAAAATGTGTGAAGGATATGAACAGACACTTCTCAAAAGAAGACATTTATGCAGCCACCAAAGATATGAAAAAAAACTCATCTTCACTGGTCATTAGAGAAATGCAAATCAAAACCACAATGAGACACCATCTCATGCCTGTTAGAATGGCAATCATTAAAAAATCTGGAAACAACAGATGCTGGAGAGGATGTGGAGAAATAGGAACACTTTTACACTGTTGATGGGAGTGTAAATTAGTTCAACCATTGTGGAAGACAGTGTGGCGATTCCTCAAGGATCTAGAACTGGGAATACCATTTGACCCAGCAATCCCTTTACTGGGTATATACCCAAAGGATTATAAATCATTCTGCTATAAAGACACATGCACACCTATGTTTATTGCTACACTGTTCACAATAGCAAAGACTTGGAACCAACACAAATGTCCATCAATGATAGACTGGATAAAGAAAATGTGGCACATATACACCATGGAATACTATGCAGCCATAAAAAAGGATCAGTTCATGTTCATTGCAGGGGCATGGATGAAGCTGGAAACCATCATTCTCAGCAAACTAACACAAGAACAGAAAACCAAACACTGCATGTTCCCACTCATAAGTGGGAGTTGAACAATGAGAACACATGGGCACAGGGAAGGGAACATCACACACTGGGGCCTGTCGGGGGTTGGGAGGTAGGGAAGGGATAGCATTAGGAGAAATACCTAATGTAGATGACGGGTTGATGGGGGCAGCAAACCACCATGGCATGTGTATACCTATGTAACAAACCTGCATGTTCTGCACATGTACCCCAGAACTTAAAGTATAATAATAATAATAAACAAGACTGATTAATGATTTGTCTCTTTCTCCCTATTGTATAATTCAGTTCCTCAACAGTCTACCATTTCTAAAGAACATTAACTTTATGACATACACTGTTCACATGCACAGAGTAGATTTCTATTAGTGTGTTAGTCTGTTCTCACGCTGCTATAAAGATACTACCTGAGACTGGGTAACTTAAAGAAAATAGGTTTGGTCCACAGTTAGGCATGACTGAGGAAGTCTCAGGAAACTTACCATCATGGTGGAAAGTGAAGGGAAAGCAAGGCACACCTTACATGGTGGCGGGAGGGAGAGAGCAAGGAAGTACCACACTGTAAAACCATCAGCTCTCATGAGAACTCACTCATTATCATGAGAAGATCATGGGGGGACCACCCCCATGATCCAACCACCTCCCATAAGGTCCCTCCCTCAACACATGGGGATTGAAATTCAAGATGAGATTTGGGTGAGGACATAGCGCTAAACTGTATCATTCCACCCCTGACCCCTACCAAATCTCATGTCCTTCTCACATTTCAAAGCTAATCATCCCTTCCCAACAGTTCCCAAAATTTTAATTCATTCCAGCATTAACTCAAAAGTCCATAATCCAAAGTTTCATCTGAGACAAAGTCCCTTCCACCTATGAACCTGTATATCAAAAGCAAGTTAGTTACTTCCAAGAAAAAATGGCAGCACAGGAATTAGGTAAATGTTTCCATTCCAAATGGGAGAAATTGGCCAAAACAAAGGGGTCATAGACCCCATGTAAGTCTAAAACCTGGCTAGGTAGTCACTAAATCTTAAAGCTCCAAAATGATGTCCTCTTTGACTCCATGTCTCACATCCAGGATGTGCTGATGCAAAGGGTGGACTCCTATGGCCTTGGGGAGCTCTTCACCTGTGGCTTTGCATGGTACAGCCCTAGCTGCTGCTTTCACAGGCTGGCATTGAGTGCCTGTGGCTTTTCCAGGCACCCGATGCAAGCTGTCTGTGGATCTAACTTTCTGGGGTCTGGAGAATGGTAGTCCTCTTCTCACAGCTCCACTAGGCAGTACCCCCGTGGGTACTCTGTATGGGGGCTTTAACCCCACATTTCCCTTCCCCAGTGCCCTAGCAGAGATTCTGCCCCTGCAGCAAAATTCTGCCTGGACATCCAGGTGTTTTCATAGGCAGAGGTTTCTAAAACTTAACTCTTATATTCTGTACACCTGCAGGCCAAATACAATGTGGAAGCCACCAAGGCTTGTGGCTTGCACCCTCTGAAGCAATGGCTTGAGCTGCACTTTAGCCACTTTTAGCCATGGAGTGGCTGGGATGCAGGGCACCAAGTCTCAAGGCTGCACACACCAGCAGGGCCCAAGGCCGCACCCACAATACCATTTTATCTTCCTAGGCCTCTGGGCCTGTGATGGGAGGGCCTACCTTGAAGATCTCTGGCATGCCCTTGTGACTTTGTCCATTGTCTTGGGGATTAACACTTGGCCTCTCTTTACTTATGCAAATTTCTGAAGTCAGCTTGAATTACTCCTCAGAAAGTGGGTTTTTCTTTTCTACCACATGGTCAGGCTGCAAAATTTCCAAACTTTTATGCTCTGCTTCCCTTTTAAACACAATTTCCAATTTCGAAACTTCTGTTTGTAAGTGCATATAACTATAAGCTTTCAGGAAAAAAACAGCTCATATCCTGAATGCTTTGCTGCTTAGAAGTTTCTTCTGCTGGATCCCCTAAATCATCTCTCTCAAGTTCAAAGTTCCACAGATATCTAAGGCAGGGGGAAAATTCTGTCAGTCTCTTTACTAAAGTATAGCAAGAGTGACCTTTGCTCCAGTTCCCAATGAGTTTCTCATCTCCACCAGAGGCCACCTCATTCTGGAATTCAGTTTCCATATCACTATCAGAATTTTGGTTAAAACCATTCAACACATCTCTAGGAAGTTCCAGACTTTCCCACATCTTCCTGTCTTCTAAGTCCTTCAAACTGTTCTGAACTTTTCCCATTACCCAGCTCCAAATTTGCTTCTACATTTTCAGGATATCTTTGTATTATTGACCCACCCCTGGTACCAATTCTCTGTTATTGTCCATTATCACACTGCTATAAAGATACTACCTGAGATTAGGCAATTTATAAAGAGAGGTTTAATTTACTCACAGTTCTGCATGGCTGGGGAAGCCTCAGCAAACTTAAAATCATGGTGGAAGGTGAAGGGAAAGCAAGGCACATCTGACATGATGGCAGAAGAAAGAGAGTGAGGAAGTGCCTCTTTAAACTGTTACATCTCATGAGAACTCATTCACTATCATGAGAACAGCATGGGGGAATCTACTCCATGATCCAATAACCTCCAGTCAGGTCCCTCTCTCGACATGTGGGGATTATAATTTGAGATGAGATTTGGGTAAGGACACAGAGTCAAGCCATATTATTTAGTCATTTGAGCAATGCCCATGAAAATAACGTAGATTGTCAGGTCTTTTATATAGTACAGTATCTGCTGTGTCGATCTTGGGAATAGCCCCATGAGGAAAGTTTAAATTGTCTCTACTTTTCATGCTTTAGACATGAGTTTTGATTTAGATATTATCTAAGTGTGGAGTCCTAACTAGAGAAAAGAAATCAGGCTAGTAGGAGAAGGAGAAAGCAAAAAGAAGAGCAGATAACCTCTAAGTCTATATTTCTTCATGGTCCAGAACACCTCGCCTTCCTGTGCAAGTAACTCACAACCTTCCTAGGTCTGACTTATCACCAGATTCTTGGCTGATAGAAAAATGCAAGTTTGCTCACTATAACTTTGGCATTATTAGTACTGCGTGCAGCCCTCTCCAGCACATACCACAAGCCTCATCCTATAGAGTCCCCTGCAAGCCTTTGTCTCCTTGCAGTCAGCTTCCCTCTTGCTGACTTGCCTATTGCACCCATGCAACATACTTTTCTACTTTCTATAATAAGTTTGCCTTATTTTCCTACAACTGTCTTGGTAAATTTGTTTTACTACCCACATGACACTGGCCCCAGACAGTCAGCACCTGTGACAGTAAGGCTTCAAACTGCACAGTGTTCCTTTGTTCAAAGTGCCCACAAATGATGTTAACGAGATAAAGAAAGCTCCCTAGATCAAGGTTAATTTTTTCAAAGTGAACAGACACATAAATGTTTCTCTAATCCCTATTCTGGACATATACCTTCTTCCTCAGACCAACTAACCTGTTGGCCTGTGTATTTCAAACTCTCGCATTCAGCAGTTAATCTATTACAAGTCTCATTATTGGCGGGGGAGATATTTTTATTATTATTTTATAATCAGAGTTAATTATATTGCCTGAACATAGCTAATGATCAAAATGGGATGTATTTGTATTATGTCCCTTTGAAAGAACTGTTCACTTATTCTTAGATCAAGTTAGGCCTAGGGTCTTTGATGACATTTCTTAATTCAGTGAAAGCACAAATTCCTTCTGTCATCCTTGTCTTAGCAAGATTGCTTATTTGAAATATTTCTTCTCTTAAGAAAACATTAGCACACACTCTGTGCTTAATAATAAACAAATTATACTCAAAAGTCTTTTTATAATCTGCATTTTTTTGAGACAAGGTCTTGCTCTATCACTCAGGCTGAAGTGCAGTAGCCCAATCATAGTTCACTGCCACCTCCAACTCCAGGGCTCAAGTGATCCTCCTGCCTCAGCCTCCTGAGTAGCTGGTACTACAGGTGCATGCCACCATGCCTGGCTATTTTGTGTGTTTGTGTGTAGAGATGGCATCTTTTGATATTGCCCAGACTGGTCTTGAACTCCTGGGGTCAATCAATTCTCCTCCCTCAGCCTCCCAAAGGGGTAAGATTACAGGCATGAGCAACAGCACCTGGCCAATATGAACTTTCTTAATCCAACTATGTACATTTATGTAATAAAACCATGTACATTAAAAATTATAGCTTCATTTATAGGTACAGTCAATCAGCATGAGTTTTGTATATAATTTTGATTTCTCTATTGATATTTTAACCATTTTAAAGTTATCTTCTTAATTTTAGTTCCTGGAAATACAGATTATACTATGCATTTTATTTTAGTACTATCTACCTCATAATTGTACTAATATTTCTGGTAAATTACAGATACTCTGTGTCTATGTTTAAAAAATCTTTATGTGTTATAAAACCTTAATGTAAGTTAAAATATAAAAATATTCAGTTACAATTAATTTTTATATGATCTTATTTCTTTTAAAAAGCTAAGATTATAAATGAGAGGACATATATTGATAAGGATTTTTATATTTACGCAGAAGCGTTCTTAATTTTTTTTCCTGTAAATCATGGTTAACTTTGATATTAGTTCCTTTCAGTTTGAAAAACACCTTTTAGTATTTTTTATTTTTGAGACAAAGGCTTGTTCTGTCAGAGTGCAGTGGTGCCATCATAACTCACAATGCGTCCTTGAACTCCTGGGCTCAAGTGATCCTCCACTTCAGCCTCCCCAGTAACTGTGACTACAGGCAAACACCACCATGCCCAGCTAATTTATTTATTTTTTATTTTTGTAGATATGGGGTCTTTCTATTTTGATCAGGCTGGTCTTAAACTCTTGGCCTCAAGTGATTCTCATGTCTCAATCTCTACAAGTGCTGGGATTATAGTATTTTTTTTAAAGGCAGTTTGCTAACAACAACTTATGTATTTGTTTCTCTGGGGATTCCATTATTTTTCCTTTATTTTTGAAGAATTATTTTCCTGAACATACAATTATAGTTTGACCCTTGCTTGTTTTTGTTTTGTTTCCTCTAGCACTGTGAATATATAATTCCGATACTTTTTAGTCTCATGATTCCTGGAGAAAAATCACCTGTTAATCATATTGCTGCTTCCATGTCCAAGTTCCGTTGTTTCATACTTTCTACTTCCTATATTTTCTGTTTACCTTTCTATACTTTGACTATGATTTGCCTAGATGTGAATCTCTTTGTGTCTTTTCTACTTGAGTTTTGCTAAACTTCAGGGATATATAGATTAATGTACTCCATCACATTACGGAAGCTTTCACCATTATTTCATCAAATAATATGTCTTCCCCTTTATCTTTCTTCTCTCCTTCTGGCACTCTTATTACATGTACATAGTTAAACTTATTCTTCCACACATTCATAAGTTTCTGTTACTTTTTATTCATTTTTTCTTCTTTAACATATATTTTCTATTGGTCTTTATTCAAGTTCACTGGTATTTTTATATTTTTATTAAACTTTGTAAAAAAGAGTTTGACCAATTTACATTTCTCCTACAAACACACTTTTTAATTTTGTCAATTTGAAAATACATTTTAATATGAATTTATATTATTAATAAAGTGACCATTATTTCATAATGTAAAGAAGTAATTTTATTTTTATTCTGGTGAATGTTCTTGTGACTGGGTGTCCCCAAGACCACTCTCACATTTGATGATTACTGTAAGGAATCATAGACAACATAAAAGCTGTTATTTTTCATGGTTATGGCACATTACAATGAATGGTTACAGATTAAAATCAGCAAAAGTACAAGGCACATAAAGTGAAGTCCAGGAATATGAGCAAGCTTCCAGTTTTTTCTGTCAGTTGAGTCACATAGATGGTGCTCAATTCTCACAGCAATATATGTGGCAACATATATAGAGTATTGCCAACCAGAGAAGTTCACCTGAGCTTTTGTGTCTGGAGTTTTTATTAAGGACTTGTCACTCAGTCTTGAAGTGACACTATGGCTGATCTTAGTCACTATGTCTTCAGCCCCTCCGGAGGTCAAGTTGATAGAGTGTGGTCTACTGCTCCCGTGATAAACTACATTATTAGCATAAACTATCTATTGTGGTCCAAGCACCCACCATAAATCAAATCATTAATATAAGCTATCTGTTATAGCCCAAGGTCTCAGGTATATAAAGACACTTTTATTACATAGGATTTCCCAAGTGCTTGGAATTAATATTACAGGAATTGGTCAAGGACCAGTCCTTTCCTTATGATATTTAGGGTGTAAATGCCCCAAGCCTACTGAGTTAACCCTTTACTTCACAGAACTATTGTCATAATTTTCCATGATTTAAAGATATGTACATATTAAGGTGATTAGCTCATCTGGCATATGATGTATAAATTTTGACATAAGAGGGAAATATCTCTTATTTAATTCACACAGATAACGTAAAATTATTTTTTAAAATGCTGTTTGCTTTTAGAAAAAATTAAGAACACCATCATGACAGAATATATCATAAATATAGAAAATGTAGGCCAATAATAGAGTAAAAACTGTCTGCTTCTCATATAACTAATAAATAATGAATATCCAGAATATTTACATGGTGTCTACAAATCTATGAGAAAAAGTTATTCAGCCAAATATATGTAAAATCTAGAGATGACATTAAGCAGTGCATACAGGAATATACCATAACCACAAATGAACTTAGAAAAGATCTTCAATCTCCTCTGCAATCAATAAACACAAAATGAACAGACTTGTTCACAGAAATCAAATAAAAAATACTTTTACAGAAAATAACAAATATTGTTAAGCACATTTTTTCCTAAAGTATAAAATGGTAGGGTCACTTTGGAGGACAAATGAATAGCATCTAGTAATAATGATGCTGTGAATACACCCTGACCAAGAATTTCACTTGTAGGAGTCTAAGATAAAGAAATACATTTTCCAACGTGTTGTACATCTCTGTATTTTTCATTCTTTTTTTTTTTATACTTTAAGTTTTAGGGTACATGTGCACAACGTGCAGGTTAGTTACACATGTATACATGTGCCATTTGACCCAGCAATCCCATTACTGGATATATACCCAAAGGATTATAAATCATGCTGTATTTTACATTCTTAAAAATTCAAGTTGCCATTGGGTAATATGACCATTTTGGATGAATTTTCCCTGTTTTATTTTTATGTTAAAACTTCTTGGCCAGGCATGGTGGCTCACACCTGTAATCTCAGCACTTCGGGAGGCCAAGGTGGGCAAATCACTTGAGGTCAAGAGTTCAAGACCAACCTGGAATCCCCATCTTTACTAAAAAATGCAAAAATCAGCCTGGCATGGTACCGTTCACCCATAGCCCCAGCTACTCCAGAGGCTGAGGTGTGAGAATCCCTTGCACCCATGAGGCGGAGGGTGCAGTGAGCCGAGGTCACACCACTGCACTCCATCCTGGGCAACAGAGCAAGATTCTGTCTCAAAAACAATAACAAACCCCAAAACCTTTTTTATTTTATGTTCATTCATGAAGGCTTTCACTGGACATAGAATTCTGGATTGAAAGGGTTTTTCTTTTCCTTCCTTCCTTCTCCTTCTTCTCTATCTTCTCCTCATTTTTCTCCTCCTCCTCCTCTTCTGCTTTCTTCTTCTCCTTCTCCTCCTTCTCCTCCTTCTCCTCCTCATCCTCCTTCTCCTCCTCCTTCTTCTTCTCCTCCTCCTCCTCCTCTTCCTCCTCCTCCTGTTCCTACTCCTTCTTCTTCTCCTCCTCCTTCTTTTTCCTTCTTCTTATTTTTCGGGAATTTTCTTCCTCTCATTTTTCCTTATTTAGAATATTTTTTCCTTCTTTTGAATAATATTCCTCTCATTCTTCTTTATTTTGAATAACTTTGCCTTCTTTTGAACAAAGTGGATATAATTAAGTATGAAATTTTGTTTCCCTTTTTAATTCTGAGTTATTTTCTTAGTGGTTGCATTAAGGCTTATATCATACATCTTAACTTATTAGAAGTATTTCTGCTGATTTAATTCATTAATGCTGACCCAATTTTAGTGAAATATAGAAACTTCACTTCCTTATAGTTCCATTTACCCCCCTCATTGTTCTATTATTGCTGTACATGTAAAGTATATATATATTTGGCAAACCCAGTAATAAATTATTATAAATATTAGCTTTTTTCACTTTATTTTTCTTAAATAAGTTGAAGTAAAAGGGTAGAGAAAATATAGTTTATTATATTAATATTTTTGTTAACTTTTACTTGTACTCTTTCTATGAATTTAAGCTACCATCTGGTAACTAATTTGCTTATTCCATTATAGTTTTTTTCCCACCCACCTTTATTATGCTGTTATTGTCAAATATATTATATTTGTATATGTTTTAGGATATATAACATATATTCTAAATACATTATATATCTGTATGTTACAGTGCAAAAATACCCTTAAATATATTGTTTATGCAATTGCTTTTTTAAATTATTTAAGGCAGGAGAAAAATATATACAAGTAGACTGTCTTTTAAAATTACCTCCTTAATTGTTTTTACCAACACTTTTTTATGTGTATTCAGATTAATCTATGATATCACTTGCCTTCAGCCTAGAAATGTCCTTTATTTTTTTTGTGAAGCAGTTCTGCTAGCAATAAATTCTATCAGTTTTTGTTTTTCTGGGAATGCATTGATTTTTGTCTTCATTTTGAAATATAGTTTTATTAGATACAAGCTTCTTGATCAACAGCTTTTGTGTTGTTTTGCTTTGTTTTACTTAGCACTTTGCTTCTGTTGTTACACTGCCTTCTCATCGCCATTGTTTCTGATGAGTAGGCAGCTATTAATTTTATTGGAGTTTCTCTTGTATGTCATGAATCATTTTACCCTTAATGTTTTGAAGATTTTCTTTCTCTCTTTAGCTTAACCTTTTGATTAGGATGTGTTTAAGTGTATATCTCTTTTGGTTTATCCTAATTTGAGTTTATTGAGCTTCTTAATATAAGGATTTTTTTTCAACAGATTTTGAAAATGTTAAGATTATTGCATAATCCTTGTTGATCTATTTTTAAATTCACTGATTGTTTCTTTTTCTTACTCAAATCTTTCACTGTCACTCTATTTTCATATTTTTACTTTTCATCTTCATATTTTATTTGACTTTTTACAATTTCTATTTCTTTATTGATAGTCTCTCTTTTATAATCCATTGTCATTATATCTTCATTTCTTTAAATATGGTTTTCATTAATTATTTGAACATATTTATAACAGCTACTGTGAAGTCTGTGCTAATTCCACCATCTGTGTACTTCAACAGTAATTTTTATTGCCTGATTATTTTTCTCATTTGTGAGTCTCACTTGTACTTTTTCCTACATGTATCATAAATTTTTGTTGTTGAAAACTGGACATTTTAAACATATATACTGTTGAAATTCTAGGTACTGACTTCTTATTCACCTCCCCATGTTTTCTTATTGTTTTTCTTGGTGTTGGTGGTGGTGTCTTTTTGTGAGTTTTAAAATTTCATCATTTGAATAAGTTATTTTTCCAAAGTCTATTTTGCCTGTTTTCAGCCTCTGATGTTTTTGCTCAGATTTTGTTCCCTTGTTTTTAATTTTTATGTTTAGTTTAGTTACCTAGGGGTCACTTCCAGGTCAATATAAGTCACATGGTGGTCAAAGGTTGGGCTTAAGCTTCCTTTATCAGTAGATTTTTACCTTTTCTCATTGGATATGTGAATTGTTGGAGCCTACTATCACAATTCAATAAGCTTTTGTGTTTGCCCCATTTTCATCCAGGGACTAGTAGCTTCTATTTTTTTCTCTTCAGTCAGTACTGAGAAGATACAGCCATGGGCATTCCTGAGTCTTTCAAACTGCAGGGCGAAGTATGAATTTATCTATAAGCATGGCATTCTAGGAGTTGCCTCTAGGACCACGTAGCTTATTATTCAGTAGTGTTCACTCTGGGGTTGTCTTTAAACCAGTGAAGCCTCTGCCTTGTGTTGATGTGTCTATGTTTGACTGGATAAATATTTTTAAGTCTGTCCAGGTTATGTACTGATTGCTCCCGGGTTCCTACTCAATATTATTATTACACAGTCTAGCACATTTTCATCTTCTTCCTGGTTCATAGTTGAATATGATCTCTATGGAACTACCAAACTCCTATTAATTGCTCTCCACCAAGATTTCCATTGTTTCTGAAAATGTCCTCAGGCATGGAATTTCTCATGTTTGGTACCAAATATAGTCAGTTTCCTCAGTCAGATCTGTGGAAGTCTTCATTGTTAGGACTTGCCTTCCCCACATGCATAATCTCTTCACAAGTGCAACAGAACTGGTGTGTTAGAGGATCAGATTTTCCAGAAAACTACTCATATTACAAGTGTGCACTGGTGGTGGGAAGTAGATTCTTCTCTTTTCAGCTTGGCTCTCCTATCATGGAAATTATATTTATAAGCCAACTGGGAAAGGGGCACTTGGGGCCCAATATTCTTGGTCTGCATTCCTGGAGTACAATGTCCATTTTATGGTTGGGGGCTGGATGGGAAAAGGGACACCAGTGCTATCCAAAGTGCTCAGATGGTATGAAGATTCTGCAGGACAGGGCTGGGAGGCATAAGAAATGTTAGCATCCTGACCATCTTTATGTGAAACCACATCCCAAGACTATGAGTTGGATAGAGCAAGTCATTGTCTTTTTTGCCACACTTCCTTGGGAGTAGAATGCCCATGGTAGAGATTCATAACACAGAGCTAGGGGTGGAATAAGTGGGAAGGGTCAGAATATGGGTTATAGTTCAAATTCTATAGACTCTCACTGTATTTTGTGCAAAGACGGAAGATTTTCTTAAATGAATATAAGTAAAATTTCACAAATGAAACATTATTTTTGTTTTATAATTTTTATCAATTAATTTGTTATGTTGCTGATGAAAGGATCCTCTGATATTTTTATTCCACCATTCTGGAAGTTCCCTTTTGAAAGAATTTCACTGATAGTTGCTATAGTTTGGGTGTTTGTCTCCTCCAAATCTCATGTTGAAATGGGGTCCCCAGTGTTAGAGGTGGGGCCTGGTGGGAGGTGTTTAAATCATGGCAGCAAATTCTTCATAAATACCTCTGATATGGTTTGGTTCTGTGTTCCCACCCAATTTCATGTTGAATTGTAATAATACCCATGTGTCAAAGGCAGGACTAGGTGGAGAAAATTGAATCATGGGTGGTTTCCCCCATGCTGTTCTTATGATAGTGAGTGAGTTCTCACAATATCTGATTGTTTCATAAGGAGCTTCCCCCTTCACTTGGCACTCATTCTCTCTCTTGCCATCCTGTGAAGAGGTGACTTCTATCAGGATTGTAAGTTTCTTGAGGCCTACCAAGCCATGTGGAACTTTGAGTCAATTAACCTCTTCTATATAAATCACCCAGTCTTGGGTATTTTTTATAGCAGTGTGAGAATGAACTAATACAGTAAACTGGTAATGCAGAGAGTAGGTGCTGCTATAAAGATACTTGAAAATGTAGAAGTGACTTTGGAATTTGGTAAAAGGCAGAGATTGGAGCAGTTTAGAGGGCTCAGAAGAAGACAGGAAAATGTGGGAAAATTTGGAACTTCCTAGGGACTTGGAGGGCTCAGAAGACAGGAAGACATGGGAAAGTGTGGAACTTCCTAGGGACTTGTTGAATAGTTTTGACCAAAATGCTAATAGTCATATGGACAATACATTTCAGGTTGATGTGGTCACAGATGTAGATGAGGAATTTGTTGGGAACTGGAACAAAGGTGACATTTGTTATGCTCTAGTGAAGAGACTGGAGGCATTTTGCCCCTGCCCTATATATCTCTGGAAGTTTCAATTTGAGAAAGATGATTTAGGGTATCTGGTGGAAGAACTACAAAGCACTGCTCAGTGAAATAAAAGAGGACACAAACAAATGGAAGAACATTCCATGCTCATGGATAGGAAGAATCAATATTGTGAAAATGGCCATAATGCCTAAGGTAATCTATAGAGTCAATGCCATCCCCATCAAGCTACCAATGACTTTCTTCACAAAATTGGAAAAAACACTTTAAAGTTCATTTGGAACCAGAAAAAAGCCCACATAGCCAAGACAATCCTAAGCAAAAAGAACAAAGCTGGAAGCATCACGCTACCTGACTTCAAACTGTACTACAAGGCTACATTAACCAAAACAGCATGGTACTGGTACTGGTACCGAAACAGATATATAGACTAATGGAACAGAAGAGAGGCCTCAGAAATAACACCACACATCTACAACCATCTGATCTTTGACAAACCTGACAAAAACAAGAAATGGGGAAAGGATTCCCGATTTAATAAATGGTGCTGGGAAAACTGGTTAGCCATATGTAGAAAGTTGAAACTGGGCCTCTTCCTTTCACCTTATAGAAAAATTAATTCAAGATGGAATTAAAGACTTAAATGTAAGACTTAAAACCATAAAAACCCTAGAAGAAAACCAAGGCAATACCATTCAGGACATAGGCATAACCAAAAACTTCACGAGTAAAGCAATGGCAACAAAATTCAAAACGCAATGGCAACAAAAACACCAAAAGCAATGGCAACAAAAGTCAAAATAGACAAATGGGATCTAATTAAACTAAAGAGCTTCTGCACAGCAAAAGAAACTACCATCAGAGTGAGCAGGCAACCTACAGAATGGGAGAAAATTTTTGACATCTACCCAACTGACAAAGGGCTAATATACAGAATCTACAAATAACTTAAACAAATTTACAAGAAACAAACAACCCCATCAAAAAGTGGGCAAAGGATATGAACAGACACTTCTCAAAAGAAGATATTTATGCAGCCAACAGACACATGAAAAAACGCTCATCATCACTTGTCATCAGGGAATGCAAATCAAAACCACAATGAGATATCATCCCATGCCAGTTAGAATGGCAATCACTAAAAGTCAGGAAACAACAGATGCTGGAGAGGATGTGGAGAAATGAAATGCTTTTACACTGTTGGTGGGAGTGTAAATTAGTTCAACCATTGTGGAAGACAGTGTGGCAATTCCTCAGTGATCTAGAACTAGAAGTATCATTTAACTCAGTGATCCCATTACTGGGTACATACCCAAAGGATTATAAATAATGCTACTATAAAGATGCATGCACACATATGTTTACTGTGGCACTATTCACAATAGCAAAGACTTGGAACCAACCCAAATGTCCATCAGTGATAGACTGGATTAAGAAAATGGATGAGTTCATGTCCTTTGCAGTGACATGGATGAAGCTGGAAACCATCATTCTCAGCAAACTATCACAAGGACAGAAAACCAAATACCACATGTTCTCACTCATAGGTGGGAATTGAACAATGAGAACACATAGACCCAGGGTGGGGAACATCACACACTGGAGCCTGTTGGGGGGTGGGGGACTGTGGGAGGGATAGCATTAGGAGAAATACCTCATGTAAATGATGAGTTGACGGGTGCAGCAAACCAACATGGCACATGTTTATCTATGTAACAAACCTGCGTGTTGTGCACCTGTACCCTAGAGCTTAAAGTTTAATAATTAAAAAAAAGAATTGAGGTTGGGGAACCTCTGCCTAGATGCAGAGGATGTATGGAAATGCCTGGGTGTCCAGGCAGAAGTTTGCTGCAGAGGTGGAGCCCTCATGGAAAACCTCTGCTTGGGCAGTGCAGAAGGGAAGTATGGGGATGGAGTCCACACACAGATTCCCCACCCGGGCACTGCCTAGTGCAGCTGTGAGGAGAGGGACATCATCCTCCAGACCCCAGAATGGTAGATCCATCAATGGCTTGCACCATGTGCCAGGAAGAGCCACAGGCACTCAATGGCAGCCCATGAAAGCAGCCCAGAGGAGGACTGTACCCTGCAAAGTCACAGGGCTGAAGCTGCCCAACACCAGGGGAGTTCATCTCTTGCATCAGTGTAACCTGGATGTGTGACATAGAGTCAAAGAAGATCATTTTGTAACTTTAAGCTTTAATGACCACCTTATTGGATTTCAGATTTGCATGGAGCCTGTAGCCCCTTTGTTTTGACTAATTTCTCCCATTTGGAATGGGTGCATTTATGCAATGCCTGCACCCCCATTGTATCTAAAAAAGTAACTCACTTGTGTTTGATTTTACTGCCTCATAGACAGAAGGGACTTGCCTTGATGTAGGAGGACATGATATTTTGAGGGGTCAGGCATGGAACGATATGATCTGGCTCTATGTCCCGATCCAAATCTCACCTTGAATTGTAATAATCTCCATGTGTCAAGGGTGGGACCAGGTGTATACAATTGAATCATAGGACTGGTTTCCCCGTGCTGTTCTTGTGATAGGGAGTAAGTTTTCACAAGATCTGATGGTTTTATTTTATTTTATTTTTTTATTTATACTTTAAGTTTTAGGGTACATGTGCACATTGTGCTGGTTAGTTACATATGTATACATGTGCCATGCTGGTGCGCTGCACCCACTAACTCATCATCTAGCATTAGGTATATCTCCCGATGCTATCCCTCTCCCCTCCCCCCACCCCACAACAGTCCCCAGATTGTGATATTCCCCTTCCTGTGTCCATGTGATCTCATTGTTCAGTTCCCACCTATGAGTGAGAATATGCGGTGTTTGGTTTTTTGCGATAGTTTACTGAGAATGATGATTTCCAATTTCATCCATGTCCCTACAAAGGACATGAACTCATCATTTTTTATGGCCGCATAGTATTCCATGGTGTATATGTGCCACATTTTCTCAATCCAGTCTATCATTGATGGACATTTGGGTTGGTTCCAAGTCTTTGCTATTGTGAATAATGCCACAATAAACATAGGTGGGCATGTGTCTTTATAGCAGCATGATTTATAGTCCTTTGGGTATATACCCAGTAATGGGATGGCTGGGTGAAATGGTATTTCCAGTTCTAGATCCCTGAGGAATTGCCACACTGAATTCCACAATGGTTGAACTAGTTTACAGTCCCATCAACAGTGTAAAAGTGTTCCTATTTCTCCACATCCTCTCCAGCACCTGTTGTTTCCTGACTTTTTAATGATTGCCATTCTAACTGGTGTGAGATGGTATCTCATTGTGGTTTTGATTTGCATTTCTCTGATGGCCAGTGATGATGAGCATTTTTTCATGTGTTTTTTGGCTGCATAAATGTCTTCTTTTGAGAAGTGTCTGTTCATGTCCTTCGCCCACTTTTTGATGGGGTTGTTTGTTTTTTTCTTGTAAATTTGAGTTCATTGTAGATTCTGGATATTAGCCCTTTGTCAGATGAGTAGGTTGTGAAAATTTTCTCCCATTTTGTAGGTTGCCTGTTCACTCTGATGGTAGTTTCTTTTGCTGTGCAGAAGCTCTTTAGTTTAACTAGATCCCATTTGTCAATTTTGTCTTTTGTTGCCATTGCTTTTGGTGTTTTAGACAGGAAGTCCTTGCCCATGCCTATGTCCTGAATGGTAATGTCTAGGTTTTCTTCTAGAGTTTTTATGGTTTTAGGTCTAACGTTTAAGTCTTTAATCTATCTTGAATTAATTTTTGTATAAGGTGTAAGGAAGGGATCCAGTTTCAGCTTTCTACATATGGCTAGCCAGTTTTCCCAGCACCATTTATTAAATAGAGAATCCTTTCCCATTGCTTGTTTTTCTCAGGTTTGTCAAAGATCCGATAGTTGTAGATATGTGGCATTATTTCTGAGGGCTCTGTTCTGTTCCATTGATCTATATCTCTGTTTTGGTACCAGTACCATGCTGTTTTGGTTACTGTAGCCTTGTAGTATAGTTTGAAGTCAGGTAGTGTGATGCCTCCAGCTTTGTTCTTTTGCCTTAGGATTGACTTGGCAATGCGGGCTCTTTTTTGGTTCCATATGAACTTTAAAGTAGTTTTTTCCAATTCTGTGAAGAAAGTCATTGGTAGCTTGATGGGGATGGCATTGAATCTGTAAATTACCTTGGGCAGTATGGCCATTTTCACGATATTGATTCTTCCTACCCATGAGCATGGAATGTTCTTCCATTTGTTTGTATCCTCTTTTATTTCATTGAGCAGTGGTTTGTAGTTCTCCTTGAAGAGGTCCTTCACATCCCTTGTAAGTTGGATTCCTAGGTATTTTATTCTCTTTGAAGCAATTGTGAATGGGAGTTCACTCATGATTTGGCTCTGTGTTTGTCTGTTGTTGGTGTATAAGAATGCTTGTGATTTTGGTACATTGATTTTGTATCCTGAGACTTTGCTGAAGTTGCTTATCAGCTTAAGGAGATTTTGGGCTGAGACAATGGGGTTTTCTAGATATACAATCATGTCGTCTGCAAACAGGGACAATTTGACTTCCTCTTTTCCTAATTGAATACCCTTTATTTCCTTCTTCTGTCTAATTGCCCTGGCCAGAACTTCCAACACTATGTTGAATAGGAGTGGTGAGAGAGGGCATCCCTGTCTTGTGCCAGTTTTCAAAGGGAATGCTTCCAGTTTTTGCCCATTCAGTATGATATTGGCTGTGGGTTTGTCATAGATAGCTCTTATTATTTTGAAATACGTGCCATCAATACCTAATTTATTGAGAATTTTTAGCATGAAGGGTTGTTGAATTTTGTCAAAGGCTTTTTCTGTATCTATTGAGATAATCATGTGGTTTTTGTCTTTGGCTCTGTTTATATGCTGGATTACATTTATTGATTTGCGTATATTGAACCAGCCTTGCATCCCAGGGATGAAGCCCACTTGATCATGGTGGATAAGCTTTTTGATGTGCTGCTGGATTCGTTTTGCCAGTATTTTATTGAGGATTTTTGCATCAATGTTCATCAAGGATATTGTTCTAAAATTCTCTTTTTTTGTTGTGTCTCTGCCTGGCTTTGGTATCAAAATGTTGCTGGCCTCATAAAATGAGTTAGGGAGGATTCCCTCTTTTTCTATTGATTGGAATCGTTTCAGAAGGAATGGTACCCGTTTCTCCTTGTACCTCTGGTAGAATTTGGCTGTGAATCCATCTGGTCCTGGCCTCTTTTTGGTTGGTAAGCTATTGATTATTGCCACAATTTCAGATCCTGTTATTGGTCTATTCATAGATTCAACTTCTTCCTGGTTTAGTCTTGGGAGAGTGTCTGTGTCAAGGAATTTATCCATTTCTTCTAGATTTTCTAGTTTATTTGCGTAGAGGTGTTTGTAGTATTCCCTGATGGTAGTTTGTATTTCTGTGGGATCGGTGGTGATATCCCCTTTATCATTTTTTATTGTGTCTATTTGATTCTTCTCTCTTTTTTTCTTTATTAGTCTTGCTAGAGGTCTATCAATTTTGTTGATCCTTTCAAAAAACCAGCTCCTGGATTCATTAATTTTTTGAAGGTTTTTTTGTGTCTCTATTTCCTTCAGTTCTGCTCTGATTTTAGTTATTTCTTGCCTTCTGCTCGCTTTTGAATGTGTTTGCTCTTGCTTTTCTAGTTCTTTTAATTGTGATGTTAGGGTGTCAATTTTGGTCTTTCCTGCTTTCTCTTGTGGGCATTTAGTGCTATAAATTTCCCTTTATACACTGCTTTGAATGCGTCCCAGAGATTCTGGTATGTTGTATCTTTGTTCTTGTTGGTTTCAAAGAACATCTTTATTTCTGCCTTCATTTCGTTATGTACCCAGTAGTCATTCAGGAGCAGGTTGTTCAGTTTCCATGTAGTTGAGTGGTTTTGAGTGAGATTCTTAATCCTGAGTTCTAGCTTGATTGCACTGTGGTCTGAGAGATAGTTTGTTATAATTTCTGTTCTTTTACATTTGCTGAGGAGAGCTTTACTTCCCAGTATGTGGTCAATTTTGGAATAGGTGTGGTGTGGTGCTGAAAAAAATGTATATTCTCTTGATTTGGGGTGGAGAGTTCTGTAGATGTCTATTAGGTCCGCTTGGTGCAGAGCTGAGTTCAATTCCTGGGTATCCTTGTTGACTTTCTGTCTCGTTCTGTCTAATGTTGACAGTGGGGTGTTAAAGTCTCCCATTATTAATGTGTGGGAGTCTAAGTCTCTTTGTAGGTCACTCAGGACTTGCATTTTGAATCTTGGTGCTCCTGTATTGGGTGCATATATATTTAGGATAGTTAGCTCTTCTTGTTGAATTGATCCCTTTACCATTATGTAATGGCCTTCTTTGTCTCTTTTGATCTTTGTTGGTTTGAAGTCTGTTTTATCAGAGACTAGGATTGCAACCCCTGCCTTTTTTTGTTTTCCATTGGCTTGGTAGATCTTCCTGCATCCTTTTATTTTGAGCCTATATGTGTCTCTGCACGTGAGATGGGTTTCCTGAATATAGCACACTGATGGGTCTTGACTCTTTATCCAATTTGCCAGTCTGTGTCTTTTAATTGGAGCATTTAGTCCATTTACATTTAAAGTTAATATTGTTATGTGTGAATTTGATCCTGTCATTATGATGTTAGCTGGTTATTTTGCTCATTAGTTGATGCAGTTTCTTCCTAGTCTCGATGGTCTTTACATTTTGGCATGATTTTGCAGCAGCTGGTACCGGTTGTTCCTCTCCATGTTTAGTGCTTCCTTCAGGAGCTCTTGTAAGGCAGGGCTGGTGGTGACAAAATCTCTCAGCATTTGCTTGTCTGTAAAGTATTTTATTTCTCCTTCACTTATGAAGCTTAGTTTGGCTGGATATGAAATTCTGGGTTGAAAATTCTTTTCTTTAAGAATGTTGAATATTGGCCCCCTCTCTCTTCTGGCTTGTAGGGTTTCTGCCAAGAGATCCGCTGTTAGTGTGATGCGCTTCCCTTTGAGGGTAACCCGACCTTTCTCTCTGGCTGCCCTTAACATTTTTTCCTTCATTTCAACTTTGGTGAATCTGACAATTATGTGTCTTGGAGTTGCTCTTCTCGAGGAGTATCTTTGTGGCGTTCTCTGTATTTCCTGAATCTGAACGTTGGCCTGCCTTGCTAGATTGGGGAAGTTCTCCTGGATAATATCCTGCAGAGTGTTTTCCAACTTGGTTCCATTCTCCCCATCACTTTCAGGTACACCAATCAGACGTAGATTTGGTCTTTTCACATAGTCCCATATTTCTTGGAGGCTTTGCTCATTTCTTTTTATTCTTTTTTCTCTAGACTTCCCTTCTCGCTTCATTTCATTCATTTCATCTTCCATTGCTGATACCCTTTCTTCCAGTTGATCGCGTCGGCTCCTGAGGCTTCTGCATTCTTCACGTAGTTCTCGAGCCTTGGTTTTCAGCTCCATCAGCTCCTTTAAGCACTTCTCTGTATTGGTTATTCTAGTTATACATTCTTCTAAATTTTTTTCAAAGTTTTCAACTTCTTTGCCTTTAGTTTGAATGTCCTCCCGTAGCTCAGAGTAATTTGATCGTCTGAAGCCTTCTTCTCTCAGCTCGTCAAAGTCATTCTCCATCCAGCTTTGTTCCGTTGCTGCTGAGGAACTGCGTTCCTTTGGAGGAGGAGAGACGCTCTGCTTTTTAGAGTTTCCAGTTTTTCTGTTCTGTTTTTTCCCCATCTTTGTGGTTTTATCTACTTTTGGTGTTTGATGATGGTGATGTACAGATGGGTTTTTGGTGTGGATGTCCTTTCTGTTTGTTAGTTTTCCTTCTAACAGAGAGGACCCTCAGCTGCAGGTCTGTTGGAGTACCCTGCCGTGTTAGGTGTCAGTGTGCCCCTGCTGGGGGGTGCCTCCCAGTTAGGCTGCTCAGGGGTCAGGGGTCAGGGACCCATTTGAGGAGGCAGTCTGCCTGTTCTCAGATCTCCAGCTGCGTGCTGGGAGAACCACTGCTCTCTTCAAAGCTGTCAGATAGGGACATTTAAGTCTGCAGAGGTTACTGCTGTCTTTTTGTTTGTCTGTGCCCTGCCCCCAGAGGTGGAGCCTACAGAGGCAGGCAGGCCTCCTTGAGCTGTGGTGGGTTCCACCCAGTTCGAGCTTCCCGGCTGCTTTGTTTACCTAATCAAGCCTGGGCAATGGTGGGCGCCCCTCCCCCACCCTCGCTGCAGCCTTGCAGTTTGATCTCAGACTGCTGTGCTAGCAATCAGTGAGACTCCATGGGCGTAGGACCCTCCGAGCCAGGTGCGGGATATAATCTGGTGGTGCACCGTTTTTTAAGCCCGTCGGAAAAGCGCAGTATTCGGGTGGGAGTGACCCGATTTTCCAGGTGCCGTCCGTCACCCCTTTCTTTGACTCAGAAAGGGAACTCCCTGACCCCTTGCGCTTCCCAAGTGAGGCAATGCCTCGCCCTGCTTCGGCTCGTGCATGGTGTGCGCACCCACTGACCTGCGCCCACTGTCTGGCACTCCCTAGTGAGATGAACCCGGTACCTCAGATGGAAATGCAGAAATCACCCGTCTTCTGCGTCACTCACGCTGGGAGCTGTAGACCGGAGCTATTCCTATTCGGCCATCTTGGCTCCTCCCCCAGATCTGATGGTTTTATAAGGGGCTTCCCCCTTCACTTGGCACTCATTTTCTCTCCTGCCACCTTCTGAAGATGTGCCTTTTGACATGATTGTAAATTTCCTGAGCCCACCCTCAAGCCATGCAGAACTGTGAGTTAATTAGACCTCTTTTCTTTATAAATTACCCAGTCTTGGGTATTTCTTCATAGCAGTTTCAAAACAGACTAATACACCCTTCTTGTAAGGTAATGAGTGAGCTCTCCCTCTGAGTTCAGGCAAGATCTGATTACTTAAAGGAATGTGGCACCTCCTCTATCTCTTTTTTGCTTCCTCTGTCTTGCTTTCTCTCTTGCTTTGGAACATGCCTGCTCACCCTTTGCCTTCCACCATGATTGTAAGCTTCCTGGGCCCTCAACAGAAGCAGATGCCGACACTAAGCTTCCTGTATGGCCTGCAGAGCCAATAGTCAAAATAAGCTTTTTTTCTTTATAAATTAACTCGTCTCAGGTATTTCTTTATAGCAGTGCAAATAGACTAACACAAGAGTATTTCAATGTCATCTAGTTTTCCATTGTTTCTAGTGAGAAATCAGTGGATATTTGAATCTTTTTTTAATATAATTTGTCATATTTCTCTCAGGACATTATTTTCAGTTTTCAGAAATTTGTGATATAGTTATGCTTTTATTAAAACATTTAGTTGTTTTTAATTTTGTTTCAAACTGAATGATCTTGAATTTAAAAATTCATGTTTATCACTACGTTTCTGAAATGCATTTCATATTTCTTCAGATGTTATTTCTGCAGCCATTTGTTTTCCTCTTTTTCTATGTATCATTTAAATGTGTATTATAACTTTTGTATTGATCCACAGGTTTCATAAGTTCTATTCATTTTGTTAAATCTATTTTCTCCCCCTTTTTCAGAATTGGATATTTTCTAATGATCAATTTGTATATATACTGTTTCTTTGATAATTTTTAATATGTTGTTAAGCCCATATAGTGATTATTTTAAGGCCAGATATTTTATTTTTCAGATTTAAAATTTTAGCTTTAATATATTTTTTATTTATCCACTCAGATTTCCTATCTTTACATTTATTATGAGCCTATTTTTTCTTTGTATTCTAGTGTATAGTAATAATAATCATTTTAAAACTGTTAATTTCATCTTTTGAGACAACTTCAGCTTTTTCTCTATTGATTTTTTTTAAATTTGGATCATTTATTCTTATTTATTTATATATGAGTAATTTTGGAGTGTAACCTGGACATTGTGGAACATACATACTGGAGGCTCTGAATTCTGTTTTGTTTTTCTGAAGATGATTTCCTTTTCTCCCAATTAAACAGCTGAACTCAGTCTGGAAGATCTGTATCCTCTCCAGTGAGCAGCATCTGAATTCTAGCTTCAATTATTTTAGCCTGAAATGGTCTTTTTGGCATCTGCTTTACAGGTGCATGGTCAATAGATCTACCAGAGATATGAATTGAGTTTACACACAGTATTTGGTACTACTCTTTTCTGTGCCTCTCCTTTCTTGAATATCACCCCTTCAATTTCTTATGGGTCAGGAATTCAAACTCTGTCCTCTGGTTCATCCAGTTAACAAGACTACACACTGAAGAAATAAACTGTAGCTTTACCACAAGACGAAGTGTGGTGCTTGACTGTGTCCTCAAGCAGAACGCTTGTAAAATGTGAAACTTAACCAATGCATATACATTGCTGAAAGTTTTGCTATCCCTTTAATATCTGCCTAAGTTTTGTCTTTCTGATTTTTTAAAGATAATTTTCAAAGATATTACAAGTCCTTTCTAAAAGATTTGGTCTGATATCAGCTACTTAGCCATTATTGGAAGGAAAACTACTTAAGTCAAGTTTTAAACATGTTTGTAAATGATGAGTTGAAATTGTGCATGTAATAGTTTTTAGTATTGCTTTTACTTGCATCCTAACTAGAATTATCATATAACCCCTGTGATGGTTAATACTGAGTGTCAACTTGGTTAGATTGAAGGATGCAAAGTATTGATCCTGGGTTTGTCTGTGAGGGTGTTGCCAAAGGAAATTAACATTTGAGTCAGTGGGGTGGGAAGGGCAGACCAACACTTAATCTGGGTGGGCAACATCTAATCAGCTGCCAGCTCATCCAGGATATAAAGCAGGCAGAAAAACTTGAAAAGGTAGACTGGCTTAGTCTCCCAGCCTACATTTCTTTCCCATGCTGGATGCTTCCTGCCCTCGAACATTGCACTCCAAGTTCTTCAGCTTTAGGACTCAGACTGGCTTCCTCTCTCTTCAGCTTGCAGACTGCCTATTGTGGGACCTTGTGATCATGTGAGTTAATACTCCTTATTAAGCTCCTCTTTTTATATACAACTATCCTATTAGTTCTGTCCCTCTAGAGAACCCTGACTAATACAATCCCTTCCTCCTACCTTAGACCTTTAAAAATAAATTTAAAATAGAAAATTAAGTCAGGATACTATTTAAATTGGGCAACACAACAAAGTTTATGGGAAAAGACTGTATTTTGACCGCATGTGTTTACTGAAACTAAGCTCTCAGTTTTGGATAGTTTCTTGAATCTCTCGACAAGGTGTGCATTTTAACATTTTCATCAGTGTCTCAGTGTCTTTGTTTCTTTTCACAAATAACTTATTATTGTCTTTGTTCTATTAGTTGCCTAGGACTGCTATCACAAAGTACTACAAATTGAGTGGCTTAAAACAACAGAAATACATTCTCTGTTAGTTCCAGAGTCTAGATATCTGAAACCAATGAGTTAGCAGTGCCACGCTGACTCTGAGATTCTGGGTTAAATTGTTTTTAGCCTCTTCCTAGCTTCTGATGGTGGCCATTAATCCTTGGCATTCATTCGCTTGCAGCTGCGTCATTCCAATATCTGCCTCTTCCATCATGTGGTCTTCTCCTTGTGTGTCTCTGTCTTCATATGGCATTGTCTTCTTTTAAAGAAACCAGTCATATTGGATTAGGGCTCACCTTACTCTAGTATTACCTTATGCTAATTAATTACATTTGTAATGACCCTATTCCTAAATAAATTTGCATTCATGTGTACTGAGAATTAGGACTTCACATCTTTTTTGTGGAGAGCACATTTGAATGTGTAACATTGTCTTTGCACAAAAAAAATGTTATATGTAGCACTCACAAACCCCTTTATCCCCTTGTGAGACATTCTCAACTCACATATAACTAAACAGATAGAAGTGAAAAGGTCAAAATAACTTCTGTCCGAACAGAGACCTCATTTTAGCCTCTCAAACTGAACCTCCCATTAAAAAGCTTCTGGCCTAGTCTAAACATACAAATTAAAGGTATTGCAGCACTCTTCCCAATACCCAAGGTATGGAATCACTTTAAGTGGTCATCAATGGTTGAATGCATAAAGAAAATGTATATACACAATATAATATTATTCAGTCATAAAAAGAATGAAATCCTGCCATTTGCAGCAACATGGGTAGAAGTGGAGAAAATTATGTGAAATTCAATAAGCCAGACACAGAAAGACAAATATCAAGTGTTCTCACTCATATGTGGGAGCTGAAAAAAATGATCTCATAAAGGTAGCAAATACAATAGTGCTTACCAGAGGCTAGGAAGTGTATTAAGAAGGGGATAAAGAGCAGTTGGTTAATGGATACAAAAACACAATTAGACAGAGGGGATAAGACTGAGTGTTTGGTAGCATAATAGGGAGACTATAGTTTACAAAATTTATTACGTATTTTAAAATAGCTAGAAGAGAAGATACGGAATTTTTCCAACACAAAGGCATGATAAATATTTGACGTGATGAATATCCCAATTACCTGGATTTGATAATTATACATCATATGCTAGTATCAAAATATCACATGTACCCTATACATCTGTTCAATCATTAGGTGTGAATAAAAAATTAAAAGAATAAATAAAACAGGCATAGAGAGACTATGTGACTTATCTAGAAACAGAGAAATCATTAACAGCACTGGGATCATAATTTAGGAATTTTGAATTTAGCAAAGTTTAAATCGAAATCCACAGGAAGTGATGAACTTAAGGTCTAATCTGTATTGTTTTGATATCTGAGATCCAGGGAAATGGGATGCAATGTCAGTCATAATTTTGGCTGTGGCTGTCCACTAAAAACACTTTATTTGAGCTGGGGGAAAAAAGCAGCATTATAAATCTGAATCACTTTCCTAATTCATGCATAAGCCCAGTCATACTCCATGTACTTATAGTAAAGCTAAACTAAATTTTAAAGTTTACAGCAGGATTCCATAAGCAAAAACATTTCGAGTAAAAAGTCAAGAAATTAAGTCAGAATGCCTTGTACTTAAATTGAGAAACACAACCTAGGTTATAGAACAAGTCTATACCAAAACAAATCAAGCCCATATCTGTTTTTTTTCCATTGTTAGTGAACCTGAAGAAAATGCTGGAATATATTTATTCCATTCGAGAACAACCAGAAGAGATAAGAACTGTTAGGTGAAATAAATCTCTCTAGATTTATAAGGTAAAACTTGATCACTGGTTTTTGATGGCTAACATTCACCTACTCTTTTCTTTATAGATAGTTTCTTGAATCTCTAATCAAAGAGAGCTCTTAATCTTTGCTTTCCTCAATATTTAACAACTTTTGAAAATTAAACTATGCACTTTACATTAGGTGATAATCCCCAAGATAAGGTCCTGTCACTTTAAGAAGCAGATATTTCAGTTCCCAAACCAGACAAAGATATTTAAAAGATGCACAGAGCAACGCAAAAATTGTCAGAAGATATTTTCCAACTGACTACATTTCTGAAGCCTTATTATTCCTTGTTTAATTGCCTGGTGCATGGCTTTTTCTCAGTGCATCATATTTTGGCTTTACCCTTCCAGTTTTACATACCGCCCTCTAGTCTTGACTAATGGCTTGACTTGCCTCTTGGGAGTAACTTCTCTCTTGACTCAAACACAGTCTTTGTCACATAAACTACTTTTCTAATCGTTGACCACAACTTGCCACTGCAGTAACTGTCCTTTCTGAAGGCTTTCTGAGGGGTACCTTTTGCTCAACCAGCCAGCTGCTCTGTTACCCTTTGCTTCCCTCCTCTGGCAATATCTAGTCATTGCAGTCGCCTTCTCAAGTTTTATTTGAGTTCTTACACATTAGAGTTCGTTTCTGACAAAGTTTATCCATTCCTTCAAGAAATATTTATTATCAGTCAATTACTAGACAGACAGATTGTGAGGACAAAGAGTTATACAAATTAATTTTCTTTCTTGGTCATTGCTGATCTTTGAGTGGTAAAAAAAAATCCAATAATGACTTGTTTATCATTAGCATTGCCTTCCTGGACCCTCATTATCTGTATTTCCTTAATTGCCTGGGGTAGTTATTTAGGACGTATTTTGGATAATATTATATTATAATTATTACTTTTTAATAAATTATCTTATTTATTTATTCTTTCACCTCTCACTCAATATTAATTTATAAAAATCTTATGCATTAGGGCCAAAACATTGGTGATACAATATGAACACAAGAGATCTCTAGCATAAAATTTAGCATGAAGTCTGGCAGAAACCCAGCTATTAAGATCAGTAATTAAAATAAATTTATCTTGGAAAAAATTCAGAGTAAATTAGAAATATAAAAGAAGGAACATTTGAAGTATATAAAAAGTATTTATTTTCAAATATATACTTTCCGTATAATGAGAACATTATGCCAAAACTTCCACTAGTGTTTGCACATGCTAACATAATCATCTTTTTTTATGCTTTTATGTTTATGCTTTCTTTTTTGTGGGGGATCTACACATTGCCCAATTCATAGAATTATAGTATATACTTTTGAAAGTAATAAAATTACATGCAATTATTTTATGTTATATATTTTCTATTAATATATATTTTAATATTATACTGAGTTGAAAATACTGGTAATTTTTTTCAAAAATATTAAATAAGTAACAGGATCATAGGCTCTGTTCTAGATACTGTCAGAGCCACACAGAACATTCAAAACAGCAATGTAGAGATACTCCTTCACTTTTTACAGGAAAGGAAAACCATTTCAGTCAAGTTTAAGGGATTTCCTTAAGACTAAATTTCTAAAAAGTGGAAGAAATGACCTTTCAGTTGAGTTTCTGCTCTATTTCCTCTTCTTTTTCACTATACTAGGAAATGAAGATGATGACAGTATTTATTTATATGTAGCAGAATTATTCCTACATGGATTCTTGAAATTACTCTTACAATTATGCAATATTTTAAAAATGAAACACCTCCCTTCTTTCATATTTCCACTTTAATTTCATAAGGGTTAAATGTTCAGCCTACCCTTAATCTGTGGTGAATTCTGTGATGCACCACCCAAATCCACCTTCAATGGAGGATTTAGGTCTATTGCTGCAAACATCTTCAGCTTCCTTCCACGAAGTGTCTCTGAAGAGAAATTGCTGTGGGTTGAAGAGAGTCACCTCTTCAAAGCCATGCTCCTTCTCAGGGCAACCTGCATCCAACAACTAATCAATTCTTGACCATTTCAACTCATATTGAAACAATACTGAAGAAAAAGTCTAGTTCCATAACTCCCTGGGTGTCTGACAGTTCTGCCATTGAAGCTGCTTGCCGTATGACCTCTCCGTCTGTCCAAGCTGCTTCCTTTCTCTCTTTTCCATGGATATTAATTCCAAGGAAGGGTTTCCTTAATTAATAACCAGCATGCTAAGCTCCATCTCAAATGAGCTGGCTTTCAGTGGTAGCAAACCTACCACTGTTAGTTAGTAGCAGATGAGGGCCAAGAAAGTAGAAACTAAGACAAAAAATTAAAGCAGAAGCATTCATCCCCCAGCTAGCAATTAGGACCTAATCCCCGGTGGTGGTCCTATTTATTTTTTTATTTTTTTACCAGTAGTGAATTGGGATGCTTTATCTACGGAAAAGATTATATTAGCTTATGTGTTATATTAGGTGTTTGATAATTCTGGGGAACATAGTAACTACAAAAATATGAAATTCAGTTGCTATCACTAACTCAATTGATATTCTAGAGCATTGTAACTAGAAGTTGAGAGAGGAAGAATAATTAAAAATTTGAAAGATAAGTGCAAACAACAGAAGGTCTCCTTTGCGACATACAGAAACGTGTCACCTCTTTGTGGGAGGGCAGAGGAAACATGAAAACCAGATTAATGACTTAATTGGCAGAGTATCAAAGCTGGTTGGTGATGCCAAAGCCAGAACCAGATTTGGGGAAGAATTTAATTGTGACACATAGTTGGGATGTCTGAGTTGGTGTGCCATAAAACCTTGAATCCTCAGATTTCCCTAAACTTCCCTAGACTAGACTACAAAAGTAGCCAAATTTTCCTTACATACTAATCTTCTCTCATTTGTTTTATGTAGAGACTTTGCTTCTCCATGACCACGTATTTCAACACTCAATATGTCCTAGCTCCCTCTCTGCTACTGTGTCCACAACCAAGCTTAAATCATAAACTAAATAAGCTGAGGATGTTCTGAATCTGATATGAGAAGAAAGTAAGTATACCCAAAGTTACCGCAATTCATAGCCTGTAGGTATAGGCAAGAGCTGGGGGTGAACATGTGGAGTTGAATTCTGAAGGTGCTAGCTAATAGGAACATAAACTTGGATGAGGAAGTCTATAGTGATTGTGAGCACTCTCTTAGAATACTGGATTTAACATCCTGGCAATTACCCCAGGAGATGGTATAAACATGCTAGTAGAATGCCTCCTAAGATGATGGCAATGGCTCCACGAGTGAGGTGTATGTGCCAAAATTGCCAGCTCTACAATAGAATAAGTGATTAAATGGCTCAAAGAAGTGAGCATGCTAATATTTATATATTTATATATTTGGCTGGAAGTCTCACCAGATATTTATGCCTTATAAAAATATTCGGAGCATACATTATTTAACAAGGACATAAGAAATGTTCAGATGAGTGCATCACTCACATTACCAGAAAGGTCAGTGGTGACTCTCCATATTGCCATGGGATTGATTGTTGAAGAGATCATTGCAGAAGTATGTTCTCTTTTAGCAGGACAGGTGATAGTGCGCCACAAAATAGAGTGCAGGTGGCAGTGCTAAATCGGAAGCAAAATGGATGCAAAATACTGTTAACATAAAAGGAAGGAGACTGATTAAGACAGCTGTGAAAATGGTTTAAAGAACATAGCATCCTAGGAGCACATTAAGTGGGCAGGAAAATAGGGCAATACTTAATTTACACTATCAAAAGAAATCACAGGTATATGATTAGGAGGCTGAAGAATGCTGCAATATCATAATAAGTGTGCATGATTTGCTCAGTTCTTCTCTAAAGGACATATAGGTATTTATTTGGTTAATTGTGTAGTGAAGAAATGGAAATGCCCAAATACTTCAAGAGCAGTTGGATACAGGGTCCAAGTTCACATTGATATCAGAGGACCAAAGCATTATTATACATCATCTGCTGTAATTGGGAAATGTTCAGTCAAATGATAAATGGAGTCCTGGCCAAGCAGATCACAGGAGGACCAATAGAGCAATGGACCTATCGGTCATGGATTATTAATGGTTATTTTTCTGGTCTCTAAATAAATAATAGGTAGAGATGTACTTGGTAGCTGGCAAGACCATGATATTATAATCTTGTTTAGTGGGGTAAGATATAATAGAAAAAAATAAGTGAAAGCCCCTAAGATTAAATTTCCTCCAGGGTCCAAAAGCTAGGGTGAGGTGTTTCTCAGAGTCTCACAGATACAGTGCATGAGATTCATCTGCCTTGGACAGCTGTTCTGAGCTTTGAGGGACTGGCTCACCATGAATCTTAGACTTTATTATTGCTTGGTGCCAGTCTGTGAGAAATAAAGTTGCTTCTACGAACTTGTAGTATAAGTGTTCTGTCTCACTGGACTTGTGCAAGTAATAGAAATAGCAACTCAAGATGCCATGGACCCAAATGGTAATCAGTGCACAGTGAACCTCTTTGCATATAACAGATGACATGAAATGCTACCTGTTTTGAGTGCAGCCAAGAACACAAAAGGGCTCTGAGTCATATTAAGACAGTGGTTACAGAAATTTTGTCCCTTAGGCCTCATGACTCAGCAGACCATTTAGTATTAGAGGTATCAGTGGTTGAAAGGGATACTGTCTTAGCGAGTTTGGGCTGCAATAAGAAAAATATCATAGGCTAGATGACATAAACAACAAACATAATTTCTCACAGTTCTTGAGGCTGGGAAGTCCAAGAAATGTTGCCAGTATATCTGATATCTCAAGCATGCCTACTTCCTGGATTGCAGACAGCCATGTTCTTACTGCATGACAGAGAGCATAGAAAGGGAGAAGCAAACTCACTTTTGTATTCTTTTGAAGATACTAATCCCATAATCAGGCTTCACTTTCACGACCTAATTAATTTCCAATGGCTTCATCTCCAAATACGCTTGCATTGAGAATTAGGGTTTTAACATTTGATTTTTTAATTTTAATTTTTAATTTCCAGGGTACATGTGCAGGATGTACATTTGATTTTGACACAACATTCAGTCCATAGCAGATAATTTTTATAAATTCTGATAATGGTAGAATTATAACATAGATGCTTAGCATTCCAGAATAAGGTTATGCCATCAGCAGGAAATTCTATACCTCAAAACTAATTTCTGGCGTTTTTTTGGGCCATGGTAGACATGGAGCACCTAATTATCACCACTAACTGACCATATGGCTACAACTGCCCATCATGAACTGAGTTATGTCAGATCCATCAGTCATAAAGAGAGGTGACTAAAACAACAATCCATCATTAAAAAGAAGTGATGCATTCTGGATCAAGCACATGCAGAATCAGGGACCACAAACAAGTTATACAGGCAGACTCCCAAGTTGACCACCATTATTTCATTTGCCCCCCCTCTCCCTCAGCTTACACTTACTTTATAACAATATGCAGGAACCTATGTGGCCAGCTGATGGAGGATAAAAAGTCCACACTTTGCCTATAGGTGGGTAGAATATCTGTGTGTGCATATAAGTTAAAAAGTGAATGGAAATTCTCTACATATTTACTCAGTAGTAACCTTGAGAGGCACTGGCAACAGAAAATTTCCTTTGTGTGCAGAGCACCTAGTCATCCACTTTGTGTAAAAAGAGACATAGCTCAAGGTTATAATTTATACTTACTTGTAGATATTGGAAAATGGCTTAGTTCCTTGGTTAGGAGACAAGAAGTTAAAAAAGAAGGAAGAGCAGATAATTCACAGGAAACTCCTGTTTAGTGAATTAATGTATGAGAGTGGGAGCAATGAGAAGATTTTTATATCACATTATTGAAGTCCACCAGTGAGCCTCTATCATGGAAAACGTATTCAACAAACCAAGTAGATAAAGTGACTCAACCAGTTGACATCGGCCAGATTCTCATTGACTATCCCACTGCCTAGCCAAAGTAGAGGCTCAGAATGGATCCTGAAACATTGGTTCTGACTTATCAAAGTTCATGTAACTCCTTCTGCTATCAAAAGGCCAACCTGCCAGCAACAAAACCATTGTTCTGTCCTTGTTATGGGATTGTTATTTGATCACATTAAATTGCTACTTAGGGAAATTTAGAATGTGGACATCCAACATGGTTCTGGAAACCAAACAGTTGAAGCAGGAGTGGGCCTCATTACCTTTATTCTCAAAAAGCCACACAGGAAATAGAATTCTAGGCTTGACATGTTTAGAGGTCTTAGTTTCCTAAAGGGGAATACTTCCACCAGGTCCAGAGGACCCGGGAAAAATTCCTTTGAATTATATGGTAAGAGTGACACTTTTCACTATGGGATACTTGTGTCAAATGATCACCAGGGAAGAAAAGTTAAGATAATTGACATCTTGGAAGAGATAAATTGCCATGATCATCAGTAGGTGTTAGGGCTGCTGTCATGCATGGGTTCAAGAAAGAATATTTATTAAGCAGAGGTGATTCATTTGGGTACCTATGGTCATACTCCTGCTGTATTTTGACACTAAATGGACAGGTGCAGCCATTCTGGCCTGAGTAAGGTATGGTGACCATGGGCTCAGATGCTAGGAGTTAAAATCTAGGTCACACTACATGGTAAGCCATTGAGACCAATGAAGCTAACAGTTGAGGAGAAGGAAGAATTTAAATGGATAATAGAGAAGAGAAGTGATGACTGTTAGTTGTAGCCAGCTACAGAAGAAGTTCCTGGATTTTAATCCATTAATTTTCTTCTCATAAGATTCCTCCAAGCAGAGAATCCACTAGAAATACAGAGAAGATTCAGAGTGTACATGAAGTGGATTTAAGAGCTGCAAATGATGGCATCTGTGATGTGCCTCCATTTAACCTTTAGCTGTCATTCCCAGGAATTGCCTCAGCTGCAGAGGTGCCTTGCCCAAAATCATACTCATTCCCTGGGACAACTCACTTCCATTAACCGATATATGTATGAGTCTAAACACCAGGCCATCTCAAGCTAATCTTAAGGTCAACTCTGAAAGGGCGTTACTTCATGGCTAATAATGAGTTTTTCCAAGGCTGTGGATCATAATGGATTTGTCCATGTTATGGGCCTGCATGACAACTCAACACTTCCTTGGCCCAAACCTACTTCCTACTGCCTCCAGCTCCACTCAATAGTGATTGATCTCAAGGGAAGTCCTAAATATTTATTCTGCAAACTAAACTCCGTCTCAGAATCTGCATCCCAGAAAACATAACCTGCTACATGAACACTCTTTGACTAAATTTCAGTTTCACTTCTTTCTTCTTCATGTTTTGGATATTTCCATATTTAGTCAGACCAAGCTGAGATAAAACAATTTTACTTGTTGATGTTTTCAAGTACCTAATTAACTTTTTCTCAATGTCTGACATGTTTAGTCATGACCACTGTATACATTCTCTAGGTTTCATTATTTTCAGCAATTAAAGTCCTATGGTTCTAGTTAATTTTTTAAGAACTTCTGTAACATGATTTTTTTCACATATAAATATGTGTATGTGTTTATGTTGGGATGTAAAAAACAGAGCCAGAATAAGAAATTATAAAATGATTTTACTTAGGATAAATGAATTTATTTAGGTAAAAAATTATATTTAGGATAAGAATTTCATATATACTATTATCTACATGATTTCTAAATTTTTGTCTTTGATTCCATGGTTTAATGATTATGATGATACAACTCTAATTGACAGTGACACATTTCAAATTGACTCATAGATACCTATTGACATAGAAATGACTCCCTAAGACAGTACTTTTCTAAAAAGTCAGATTTTTATATAATTCTTATTAATTCAAATGATTTATATTCATTAATGCACACTATTCTAATAGCAATTTCGTGAAGTTTCAGAAATACACCAAGTCTGTAATGATAATTATACTTTTGCTAATATCTGTTAAATTTTTTTCTCCTTCCATGTAAGTGTCTGGTGTGTGCATGTCTGTGTGTGTGTGTCTGGTGTATGTGTGTGTCTGGTGTGTGTGTGTATATCACAGGGGTAAGGTTTCAGATTTTATATGAATATAGATAAGTAAAATAAATTAAACTTTTGTACTTATTTTGAATTTTTTATAAATAGAGAAAAATTGAAAGAATTATAAAATAATTGCCTTACACCCAATGACTAAATCTACTTGTTAAAATATTTTATTAACATTTTGCTACTGTTGGCATAGTAAGTCCTCAGTTTGCATAGGAAGTCCTCGTTTTGCACAGTCACATGGTGACTAGAATTATATTGCAATTATCACTAAATCTTGAAAATCATGGACTTTGGCCGGGCGCGGTGGCTCACACCTGCAATCCCAGCACTTTGGGAGGCTGAGGTGGGTGGATCACGAGGTCAGGAGATCAAGACCATCCTGGCTAACATGGTGAAACCCCGTCTCTACTAAAAATACAAAAAATTAGTCAGGTGTGGTGGCGGGTGCCTGTAGTCCCAGCTACTCGGGAGGCTGAGGCAGGAGAATGGTGTGAACCAGGGAGGCGGAACTTGCAGTGAGCCAAGATCGCACCACTGAACTCCAGCCTGGGTGACAGAGCGAGACTCCATCTGAAAGAAAGAAAGAAAAAGAAAGAAAGAGAAAGAAAGAAAGAAAGAAAGAGAGAGAGAGAGACAGAGAGAGAGAAAGAAAGAAAGAGAGAGAGAGAGAGAGAGAAAGAAAGAAAGAAAGAAGAAAGAAAGAAAGAAAGAAAGAAAGAAAGAAAGAAAGAAAGAAAGAAAGAAAGAAAGAAAGAAAGAGAGAAAGAAAATCATGGACTTTGGATAAGTATGTGTTTCAATGAACATGGTTCTGTGCAAAATAAACATTGCTTTTGTGTGTGAATTTATATGCACCAACAGATATTAAATTGCAGACATCATGACTTTTAACTCCTAAATGCTTAATTTCACACCTTTTAAGAAGTACTATATCTGTAAAATACCTACAATATAATCATAGCTTCTAAAATATTATTCCTAAAATATAACAAAAATTTTATCCAATATTGAGTTTATATTTTGAGTTATATATAAACTCAAATTTATTATATTATATTTATTATATATAATATATATATTATATTTATTATATATAATATATATATTATATATATTATATTTATTATATATATTATGTATATAATATATCTAATATATATTATAAATATATAATATATATATTATATATATAAACTCAAAGTTATTATATTGAGTTATAATTTCCCCATTAATTGTTCTTCTTCTTAGCTAGGATCCAATTAAATGTCACAAATTGTATTTTACTGTAATTCTACTATTGACTCTTTAAATATACATTTTATTTATTTAATGATTTTACATAACCTTTTTTTGAAGAATCCAGGCCAATAATCATCAATTATCTGACCCCTGAGTTGTTTCTCTCAAATGATTTTTGCCCTTTAAAATAGTTTTAGTGTTAGAAATACATACACATGCAAACTTTTCCCACTTCTATTATCATTACAAAAGAAACATTGCATTCAAGTCAGTTCATTCATTGAAGCCATTCATAGTTCTCCCTCCCACTTGCTTTGACACATATGGCACATTTCCTGACATCAACATTCTGTTTCTGTGCGCTACATATAAAACCCCTATACTGAATAGAAATTGAAATGGATTTTTCTGCTGCTCCCCTAGCAAATAGGAAGACAAGCATTACTGAGCTTTTTTGTTCCAAAGGGTAGAGATCATCATAGGCATTTTTTTCTTCCATTATAAATGTTGCTCTCGTTCCTTTTATTATGTTGTCTGAAAGAAGAAGAAAGAAAATAGGACAGTATTAGCAACTCTGTCAGTCACAAAAATAGTATACTAAGGCCTGGTATATTATATTTAAGAAGTTTTTTCTTTTTTAATATCTCTAATGTGTTTTATTTCTTGATACTTCTGATGCAGCTTCCCACACAAACTGGGATATGTAGGACAGGTGGGTGAAATGGTAATTTTTGTAACCTCCCTCATCGGTACACCTTGGTGCACATGTTACTGGTCACATATGTGATTTCTAGCGTATATTTAGTGACTATATATGCCACATAAAAATATATGGAATAAAGGATATGTGGAGGTTTTTTCCTCACATGAATAAGTGTCATGTAACCAGAGATGGGCAATTAATATGCAGATAACTTTGTGCATATATTTGTTACCGTCAACATACACTTGTTTTTTTCTCTATTTTCTTGTTTTTATTGAGACAAAATATTTTACATGTTTATGGGGTACATGTGAGTATTTGCTACATGCATAGAATGCATAATGATCAATTCAGGGAATTTAGGGTATTCACAGCCTTGAGTATTCCTCCTTTCTATGTGTTCCTAACATTTCAAATCCTATCATCTAGCTACTTGGAAATATACAGCATATTGTTGCTAACTATAGTCACCCTACTCTGCTGTCGAATATTGGAGCTTCTTTCTTTCTTTTTTTTTTTTTTTTGTATTTTTAGTAGAAACAGGGTTTCACCGTGTTAGCCAGGATGGTCTTAATCTCCTAACTTCGTGATCCGCCTGCCTCAGCCTCCCAAAGTGCTGAGATTATAGGCATGAGCACCGCGCCTAGCCTGGAGCTTATTTCTTCAACCTAACATACTAGTGGGTATCTTTGCACCCACTAGTCAACCTCTCCTCATTCCTTGCTCCCACCTACACACCCTTCTCAGCCTCTGATATAATGAAATTTTCTATCTCCATAAAATAAGTTTTTAAAGCTCCCACATATGAGTGAAAATACGTGATATCTGTTTTATCTGTCTCCTGTTCCATCAATGTTGTTGCAAATGACAAGCCTATGTTCTTTTTCGTGGCCAAATAGTGTTCAATTGTGTGTATATATTGCATGTCTTGTTTATCCATTCATCAATTGATGGACACAAGTTGTTTTCATATCTTTGCTAATGTAAGTAGTGCTGGAATGAACATGAGAGTGCAGGTATCTCTTTGATATACAGATTTATTTGCCTTTGGATATAAATACTCTGTAGTGGTATTGCTAGATCATATGGTTGTTCTATTTTTTTTTTTTTTTAGAAATACCATACTGTTTTCTATAGTGGTTGAACTAATTTTTATTGCCACCAACCATGTGTAAGAGCTCCCTTTTCTCCATATCCTCACCAGCATCTGTTATATTTTGTCTCTTTAATAATAGCAATTCTAACTGGGTAAGAAGATAACTCGTTGTGATTTTGATTTCGTTTCCCTGATGATTAGTGATGTTGTTTTTTTTTTTTTTTTCATATACCTGCAGGCCATTTGTATGTCTTCCTTTGAGAAATGTCTATTAATGTCCATAGTCCAATTTTAATGAGTTTTTTTTATTGTCAATTTGTTTGAGTTCCATGTGTATTCTGGATGTTAGTCTGTTGTCAGATGAATAGTTTGCAAATAATTTCTTCCCTTCATCAGGTTGTCTCTTCATTCTGTTGATTGTATCTTTTGCTGTGCAGAAGCTTTTTAGTTTAATATAGTCCTATTTGCCCATTTTTATTATACTTGTCTGTGCTACTGAAGTCTTAGCTATGAAATCTTTGTTAGACAGATGTCTTGAAGTGTTTTTCCTATGCTTTATTCTAGTAGTTTTATAGGTTCGGGACTTACATTTACGTTTTTAATTAATCTTAAGTTAGTTTTTATATATGGAGAGAGACAGGGGTCCAGTTTCATTCTTTCACATGTGAATATCCAGTTTTCTCAGCACCATTTAGTGAAGAGGTGTCCCTCCCCCAGCATAGGTTTTTGGCACATTTATCAAAAATCAGTTGCCTATAAATATGTGGATATAGTTCAGGACTCAGTATTCCGTTCCACTGTTCTATGTGTCTGTTTTTTATACCAGTATCATGTTGTTTTGGTTACTATAGTCTTGTAATATATTTTGAAGTAGGTAGTATAATGCCTCCATCGTGGTTCTCTTTGTAGAGGATGCTGTTGGCTATTCAGGCTCTTCTTCAGTTCCATAAGAGTTTTAGAATTTCTTTTTCGAATTCTGTGAAAAATGACATTGGTATTTTGGTAAGTATTGCATTCAATCTATAGATTACTTTGGGCAGTATGATCATTTTAGCAATAACAATTTTTTCAATCCATTAGCTTGGGTTGCCTTTTCTAGGTTGGTGTCCTCTTCAATTTCTTTCATCAGTGTTTTGTCGTTTTCCCCATAGAGGGATTTTCCCTCCTTGGTTAAATTTGTTTCTACGTTTTAAATTTTTATCACTATCGTAAATGGTATTACTTTCTTGATTTCTTTCTCAGGTATTTCTTTATTGGTGTATAGAACACTACCGATTTTTGTGTGTTGATTTTGTATCCTGAAACTTTACTGTACTCATTTATCAAATCCAGAAGTTTATTGGTGGAGTCCTTAGGTTTCTCTAGTTAAAAGAACATATCGTTTGCAAAGAGGAAAAATTCGACTTCCTCTTTTTCAATTTGGATATCTTTTATTTCTTTCACTTGCCTGATTATACCGGCTAGGATTTCTAGTGCTATACTGAATAGATGCGGTGAAAACAGACATCCTTGCCTTGTTCCAGATCTTAAAGAAAAAGTTGTAATCTTTTCCCAATTCAGTATGATGTTAGCTGTGGGTTGGTCAGATATGGCCTTTATTATTTTGAGGTATGTTCCTTGTATTCCTGGTTTGCTGAAATTTTTTATTACAAAGTGATGTTGAATTTCATCAAATGCATTTTATGCACCTATTGGGGTAATTATATGGTTTCTGTCCTTCATTCTGTTGATGTAACGTATTATGCTTATTGATTTGCATATATTGGGCCATCCTGCATCCCTACTATAAATCCCACTTTATTCTAGGGTATTGTCTTTTTGATGTGCTGTTGAATGTGGCTTGCTATACTTTGTTGAGGATTTTTGCATTTATGGTCATCATGGATATTGGAGTGTAGTTTTCTTTTCTTTTTTTTTTTTTTTTTGTTATGTTCTTGTCTGATTTTGGTATCAGGGTAATGCTGGCATCATAGAAAGAGTTAGGGAGAATTCTTCCATCTTAAGGCAATGTTTTCAAGTTGTTTAAGAAGGTTTTGGCCGGGCGCGGTGGCTCACGCCTGTAATCCCAGCACTTTGGGAGGCTGAGACGGGCGGATCACGAGGTCAGGAGATCGAGACCATCCTGGCTAACACGGTGAAACCCCGTCTCTACTAAAAATACAAAAATTAGCCGGGCATGGTGGCGCGCGCCTGTAGTCCCAGCCACACGGGAGGCTGAGGCAGGAGAATGGCGTGAACCCGGGAGGCGGAGCTTGCAGTGAGTCGAGATCGCGCCACTGCGCTCCAGCCTGGGCGACAGAGTGAAACTCCGTCTCAAAAAAAAAAAAAAAAAAAAAAGAAGGTTTTATATTCTTTATACATTTGGTAGATCTTGTCTGTGAATCCATCAGGTCCTGGGCTGTTCTTTTTTGAGAGGCTTTTTAATACTGATTGATTCTCACTGTTCAGATTTTCTACTTCTTCTTTATTCTATTTTAATAGGTTGTATGCTTCCAGAAATTTATCCACTTTCTTTAGGGTTTCCAGCTTATTAGTGTGTAGTTGTTCATAATAGTCTCAGATAACCTCTTGTATTTCTGTCATATCATTTGTAGTGTCTTCTTTTTCATTTCCGACTTTGCTTATTTGGGTTTTCTCTCTTTTCTTTGTTAGCCTTCTAGGGGTTTATCAATTGTGTTTATCTTATTGAAAAACCAACTTTTCATTTCATTAATCCTTTATTTTTTTTAGTCTCCATTTTGAAAAAAACAACTTTTCACTTCATTAATCCTTTATATATTTTAAGTCTCTACTTTGTTTATTTCTACAGTGATCTTTATTATTTTTTATAATTTCGGGTTTGGTTTGTTACTGTTTTCTTAGTTCCTTGAGTTGCACTGTTAGGTTTTATATTTGAAATCTGTCTACCATTTTGATGTAGGCATTTGTTTATTGCTATAAACTTTCCTTTTAGCACTGCTTTTGACATATCCTACAGGTTCTGGTATGTGGTGTTTTGATTTTCATTTGTTTCAAGAAACATTTTGATAACCATCTTAATTTGTTGATTGACCCAGTGATTGTTTATGAACATGCTGTTTAATTTCCATGTATTTGTATCATTCCTACAGTTCCTCCTGGAACTGATTTCAGGTTTTATTCCATGGTGGTCTTAGAAGATACTTAATATGATTTTGATTTGTTTAAACTTGTTGATACTTGTTTTGTGGCCTAATATATGTTCTCTCTTAGAGAATGTTCCATGTGCTGATGAGAAGGAAATATATTCTCTAGTTGTTGGATACAATACTCTGTAAATGGGTGTTAGGTACATTTGTTCTAATGTCCCATTCGAATCCAATGTTTCTTTCTTGATTTTCTTTTTAATACTGAGAGTGGGGTGTTGAAGTCCCTGACTGTTATTGTATAGAAGCCTCTGTCTCTCTCTCTCTTCAGATCTTGTAATATATGCTTTATAAATCTGTGTGCTACAGTGTATTTAGAAAATATATTTAAAATTGATCTAATGTCCTATTTGAATCCAATGTTTCTTTCTTGATTTTCTCTTTAATGTTGTTGAAGTCCCCCAATATTATTGTGAAATAATTGAAGTTTACCTCTCATTTGGATCTAGTAATGTATACTTTATGAATCTGTGTGCTTCAGTGTTCACTGCATATATATTTAGAATTGTTATTTCCTTTTGCTGGATTGATCTCTTCATCATTATATAGTGATCTTCTTTGTCTTTTTTTTTTTTTTTTTTTTTTTTTTTACTGTTTTTGACTTAAAGTTTGTTCTAAGTATAGGTACTCCTGTTCACTTTTGGTTTCCATATATGTGGAGTAACTTTATCCATTCCTTTACTTTGAGTATACATGTGTCTTTACAAGTAAATTGAATATCTTGTAGACAGCACATAGTTCAATCTCATTTCTATATCTTCTAGGTGGATAATTTAACCATTTATATTCAATGTTATTATTGATATGTGAAGTTTTGTTCCTGTCATATTGTTAATTGTTTTTTGGTTATTTTAATGCTATAGTGGTGCCATTTGAGTCCTTTCTCTTCCTCATTTGCGTGTTTGGTTTACCAGTGAGTTTTCTACTTTCATGTGTTTTCAGGATGGTAAATGTTATGCTTTTACTTCTAGGTTTAGGACCCCCTTGAACATTTCTTGCAGGACTGACCTAGCCATAATTAATTTTCCCAGCATTTGCTCATCTGGGAAATACTTCCTCTTTCATTTGTGGATAATTTGGCTAGATATATTATCCTTAGGTGACAGTATATTTATTTTTTTCTTTTCGCCTTTTGAATATGTCATCCCATCCTCTCCTGGCCTATAAGGTTTCTGCTGAGAAATTCATTGTTAGGCTGGTGGGTGTTCCTTTGTAGGTGAGTAGGTACTTTTCTCTTGCTATTTTTAGAATCCTCTCTTTGTCTTTGACTTTACGTACTGTGACTATAATGTGTTGTGAAAACTTCTTTGCATTGTATCTCTTTGGGGATCTTTGAGCCTCCTGTATCTGGGCATGCAATTCTCTTGCTAGATTTGGAAAGCTTTTATCTGTTATTTACTTAAATAGGTTTTCTAACCCTTTCACATTCTCCTCACAGGGACACTGAACGTTTGACTATTTATTTGCTTTAAGTTTTCTCGAAAGTCATAAAGGCTTTGCTCATTCTTTTTTATTCTTTTTTCTATATTTTTGTTTTACTAGATTACTTGAAAAGATCTGTCTTCAAGTTCTAAGTTTCTTTCTTCTGCTTGACCTAGTCTATTGTTAAATTTTTTAAATTTATTTTGTATTTCATTTAGTAAATTCTTCAGTTCTAGAATTTGTTTGGCTTTTTAAAAATTTTCTGTTTCATTAGTAAATCTCCCATTCATATCTAGAAAAACATATGAATTGTTTTATTGATTTCAGTGTATTGTTTTTGAGAAATCTCTTGTATCTGCTGAGCTTCTTTAAAATTGGTATTTTGAATTATTTATCTAGGATTTTGTGAATTTCTTTTAGACTGGGATCTGTTCCTGGAGAATTATTGCTTTCTATTCAAGGTGTTATATTTTCTTACTTTTCACTTTTCCTGGATCCTTACATTGATATCTGTGCATCTGGTGTAACAGTTGCTTCTTCCAATTTTTCGAATTTTCTTTTGTAGGGGAGGATTTTTTTTTTTCTGAATATTTATATATGTTACTGGTTAGGTAGGGTACTTTGGCCTTGAATTTGGATGCATGCAGTAGGGTAGTCCCGGTATGATTTCTTTGGTTATAAACAACACCAGTGGTATCTGTGATTTCTTCAGTGGTTTTTGGTGTGATAATTAGTGGAGGCTGTGGTGAGTTTTAGCTGGGGACCAGAATGCCAAGTGGGCCAGTCTTCAAGCCCCAGTGGTGGTAGGTGTAGTGGGCTGAGCATACCTTGTCTTGAGTTCCAGAGTGGTATGCAATGGCTTCACTGTCAGTGAGCTCAGTTGAGCCAATTCTTGGGCTTCCACGTGGTTTGCTCAGTTGGTAGTGGTGGGTTGGGCATGTGGACATGTTCTTGGGCCCTTGGACAGTGCATGTGATGTGGGCAGTGTCAGCAGCAGTGGTAAAACAACCTGCTAGAACCCTAGCAATCCATGCTGGTGGTGGCAGTGAATATGATAGGCTGAGTGGGCCAGTCCCCTCACCCATAGGTAGCTCATGTAAGTGGTCGTCAGATGTGGTAGTATCACCAGTTTAGGTCAACCCTACCTCAGACCCTGGGAGGAGTGCTAAGGTGCCAATAGTGGTGGACTGGGCTGGGTGATCTCCAGGCCCCGGATGGTACACTCGGAGGACAGGACTGGGTTGGCAGATTGGTCTTCAGGCTCTCTGAAAATAAGCTCTGGCACTGATTGTGATAGGCAGGGTTGGGATTGTCCCCATACCACCAGCAGAATGCTCATGTGGAAGCAGTGGCAGCTGCATTGCAGACCTGCCTCCAAGAAGGGCAGGACCCCGCTCAATGGAGGCAGTGAAGGCAGACAGCTGTGGGGCTTGTGCTTTCCTCACATCATGGTTGCACAACAGTCAGAGCAGCAACAGTGGGACTTGTCCTCAAGGTCCGTGACAGTGCCCAGCCTTCCCTATCCCTACTCAGCTCAGTGGCAACTGTGATAACAACAACCCCAGAACAAAATGCAGACCTTTGTAGGCCTGACTCTAAGAATGGTGCCAGCAGACTGTGGAACTCAGTGTGAATTGTGTTTCTGGAGCAGTGCCTTGGCTTCGCCTCTAGGCAGCACCCTGTGTAAGGTCTCAAGGTCTTTGAAACCAAAGGGCTTTCCTGCAGCTAAGATTTTAGAAGTTTGTGGAAGGAAAGTGGGGCCCCAGTAGTCACTCACTTAACATTTCCTCATGTCTGGGAGCTCCTCTCAGCTCCCAGCAGATCTCAGCCCAGCAGTGCAGGCTACCTTGCTTCTGGCTTCTCTCTTTGCTTTCGGTGCTTTCCCTCACTTCTCTGTTGAATTCTAATGTTCTCTTTTAGATGATCTATTCAAAGTTTAAATATCTGCTTGATATTTTGTTTCCTCTCTATGAAAGAGGCACTTACTAGATGCATCTAGTCAACCATCTTCAGAAATTGGTGTATTTTTATATGCAACTTTTGGCATTTATTTTCTCCTATGCTAAATTACTATTTGGTAAATTTAAAAAATATAAATTCAACATTTGCTGATTTGTAGGATAAAACTTGAAAAAAATGTTAAGACACCAGCTAAAGCACATTAGAACAACTTGGATTTTTAGAGGACTTATTCATAGCAATTTCTGTAAGTTGGTTAATATCCAACTAACATTTTGTGACACATATTTTGTGACACATATCAATTCTTATATCCTTAAAAATGTGTGGAGTTGTTTTGTTTGTTTTTGGATGTGGAGTTTTTAATATCTAGATTTAAGGTAGAGGTCTTTTCTATGACAATTTGGCCAATTTTCATTTTTCTATATGCCTTTCTATTAAATTCTCCTGTTTAACCATTTAAAAGCTGCTATAGTAAGACAGTGATGTCATAAGTCAAGCTCAACAGAAGTACAAATATAAATAGACATATAAATATCCTCAAATAAAATTACACCGCATGCTTTTCAAGGAGTAAAAGGTTTTTTTTTTCCATTTCATTGCATCATCTAACTGAAGAGAGCATGTATAATATGCAAATCACATTTTTGACCCTTTGTTTTAATACTGTTGAACACTTAAATGAGAGACTTTAAACAGTTGTGATAGTTACTTCTTGTCAATTGATGAAGAAAATGATGCGCTTAATAGAGGTATTTTAAAATATCTCTATCTGTGCAACCTTCTATGTTGCACCATGGAGAGATGAAGCAGAATAGAGGAAAGTTACTATAATATAATTTTCAGTGGGCTCAGTGACTCTCTACAATGTAAAAAAGAGTATTATTCAAATCTAGCTTAAATATAAGCAATGAAAGAAGAAAGTGTTGTGTATTTTATAGTGACAAGAAAGTGTTTGGCGCTGGGAATAATTAATTGCCTTTATAAAACAGCAGGAGTTCACTTAGATAAATAAACAGCATTTATATGTACTTGTAAAAAAAGTGAGATAAACTTACCAGCAACTACTAATCTAAGAACAAAGACTATAATAATAGCTGTAAACAATCTTTATTTTCAGTCAAGCTATCACAAAAATGTTTACTTCTCTACAAACAGAGGTAAAGCAGCTTTTGGTTAAATGTTAACTTCTGTGAAAATGGGTACATAAAGTACTTTTCAATACCAAAATGTTTTGCTGTATCTAAATATAAAATAGTAAAAATTTGAAAATACTATTTCTCAGAGTAATGTATTAGTACAAAATGCATATAACATGCTATAAATATCTACATTTGAATAAATCCTTCTGCAAACAGAAAGATTCCTGTGGGTCTGTGTTAAATTGGCAAATAGCTCACTAGTATGTTAAGATTTGGCTTCATTACCTCTTAAACAAAACATTTCGGTATAATTTCAAAATATTTATATAATATGCCAGGATTTAAATAGAATATTAGTTAAGAATAACTTCTAGAATGGATTCAGGAAATGTATTTTTATTCTGCCTTGTTCCAATTTGGAAATGTATATATACTTCCAGGAATGACTCAAATCAGTTCACATTTATCCATTGGCAGTGCAATCAAAAGAAATTATTTGGCGTTAACTTAGTTTCAATTTTTATCAAGTTAATGTTTATCATCTACCATTTTACTTTCCAGATAATAATCCAAATATATATCACTCTCTAGTGATGTCTTAAGCAATTACACATGTACTTTAATTCTTTTGCTTTACAGAAGTTATTTTGCTTTTATATTTCAACTTATAAAAAAATTTTGTCCCAAGAGTTTATACAAATAATCAGGCTTTACATATCAGAGAAAAAAAATAAACAAATATTTTCACCTTTTTCATACTCTACCATTGCCTCTAAATTTTCTTCTAGAATGCAGTATAAAAATCCCAAAATTATTAACCATGAAAAAAAAAAAACAAACAGAGGCAACTGTATCCAAGTATATTGAATGCATCATTCAGATATATTCTACTTTGAAGAGACAGTGCATGGCATTTTTAAAAGTATGAGATGAATAATACTAAAATTGTCTCTTCTACTTTCTTTAAATATAAATCACATGATGATAAATCATAGACTTCTATTGTGTTAGGCATCTGCAGTCTTAGTGTGTGTTAATACCCCTGAGCACAGTGTAGTGCATTTTAACTAATATTTAATAAAATTTATAAGGTGCATAATATATACTAAAATTTATATGGCCTATTAATCATACCAATTATTAACAAAAACATCAACTCAAGCACATAATCCTGAGTAAATATATCTGAGTCAAAATCAAGGTAAAGATAAATTAAAATCCTTGTTTTTCAAGGTGTATTTTGAATAATGGGTGAGTACATCTATCTTTCTGCCTGCTGGCTGGAAGTTTTCATGATTGTCTAGATTCACATTACCAGTTCCCTTTGCTCATTATTCCCCCTTGGCTAATTGTCTCTTTCCTTCATTTGTACTAATTAGGCTACATTTTGTTTGGCACATTAGCTTGAATTGTGTCACTAAGGTAAAACAACTTTAATAAAACCTAGCTTTGCAACATTGCTACTAAGGTCATTATCAATCCGAAATGTACCTTCAAAAATGAATTTAAATAAGGTGTAATCAAATGATGCATAAAGACACATATTTTAATTTTTTGGAAAGTAACCTCATTCTCATATCTTTTCTTTACCTCTTTTAAATATTTTCTATGAAACTTGTGATGTCAATTTTTATTTCATAGATGTGTAAAAGTTTTGTGCTTTTAAAAGTTTAATCATCTTTTCTCACTGTCTTTTATATTTCCTCTTAGATACTATTGGTCCTGTGGTCATCAGAAATTATAACAGAATTGGAGAAGATTGCTGCCATTTGGTGCCCAGATTGCTTCAAAAAATTGTAGGAGACTGCCATCCAGTAAGTTGACTTGTTCTATAATTTTGCAAGCTGATCATGCTGATGAATTTGTGACCATATGTAGAGGCTCCACTGAAAGAGCAAACAGAGAATTTTGCCTCAAGCGAAGAAGTTGAAACTTACTAAGTATGTATCCTTTGCCTAAAGTAGTTGTTTTAATAATTCCAGAGAGTAAGAAAAGATTCCAATTCCATTATATGTTTCTATCAAGATGTTATCCTTGTCCTGAGAGACTTCTGTCCAACTATTGTTGGGAAGTGGCCATTTAGTAAGAACAGATGGTGACAACAAGCACAAGAGAATATGGACAACTTCCAGGTCTCAGAGAAATAGAATCATGATCTTAGCTTTGAAAACAACTTAAATCCTACAAGGGAGGTAAAGCATATATAATAGATCCAGGAACAATGAAAAGACAACCAAAGATCATGACCCAGTTATAGGTTTCTTGCCATCTCCTAATAGGAAAAGTCTCAGAGTTAGGGAGCTGCTGCAAAAAAGCCCAATGATAAGATTCACATCAGAAGCATGTAAAGTGATTTTGTGGATAAAACTATATTAGTAAATTAAGAAAATCATGATGGCACTATTAAAGTGGAATAATTATTACAGTGAAAGTTAGATAAAAATGCACAACTTAGTAACCTTAAAGGGTAGTGTTTTATTAAATGAAAATACATTAATCCATAGCTCATATTTCTTAATGCATAACAAGCAAATAGTCTTCAAAAAATTTGCAAAAAGGAAGAAATTGAATGTAATACGTTTAAAAATATCATTATATAGAAATTAGATAATTAATATTGTGCTTGTCAATTCATAGGTCATTTTGTATCATATGGTGAACAATAAGGTTTTCAAGCTTAGATTCTCTAAATGCCAACAATCAGCAAAAAGCAGGTGATCTGTTTATATTTGTTTGATTTTACTGCCAAACATACAAAGTCAATATCTAGAGGTGGGCGAAACAAAGCACAAGTGCATGATTTACACAGGATCAAAGAAATATAATAGAATAGTATCTTGCTAACCTCACCCTCATAGTGGATGGATCAGATAACTCAATATATATATACATACCTTATTAAATATATATATATTTAATAACCGTGCCCCAGAAATGTAAATGTAATTATAATAATTTTTTTGAAAATTGCTGTAGATCAGTATTCTAATGTTTTTACTCTAAGTTTCATCTTTAATAATATTAATAAGACATAATCTAATTCACTTTTTTCTTTTTTAATTATAATTTAACCTGGAGCCTGAAGTTTGTAAACACCTTCTCAAGCTTGCTAAGTGTCACCCTGTATGATCCATTCTGTCACTCCAATGTGCCAAAAGCTTTTTGAGATTCTAATTCAGTCATCTAAAATACCTATTATTCCAGGTCTCTGCTGGTATCCTAAAAATTGTTTCCAATATTATACAAGTTACTGACTGCATTTGGTGGGAGTACTGTGGAGGTTAAAGAGTCAAATATTATCATAAATTTCTCCCTATTTTGAAATTAACACATAATTTCATACATATTTCCAAGATCACTTTATGTATGACATGAGAATTATGTAAGTTGATATCAGATATTACATTCCAATTGCATAAACTAAAACATAGCAAACATTTTCTGAATTCATTTAGACTCATTCCACTTTGTTAGTGCTGAAGCCTTTCCTCTTGCCTGCAATAGCTTGCGGTGAAAGCCAGCAATCAGCAGATCACACAGCCATCCACCTGTTACCCTGGCATCAGGGAATGTGCATTGAGGTAATTTAGCTTCTCTTAGGCTCAAAGCCTTTTTCTGCTACACAGCATAGCCAGGGCACATGGTCAGGTAATTCCCAACTCTAACCTCTACAGTGTGAGGTTACATGGTGTAACGGTGAGCACTCTGGACTCTGAATACACCAACTGTAACCTCTGCTTCAAGGCGCTAAATGCCTAGAATGGATCTGAAAAGTATAATTTTCTCCCCACACTGCCATCTTAGGACCAACCAAGGGAGTCCATGGCCAGTTGTCCAAACATGTAGTTGACTATTATGAGGTGCTAATCCTGCTGACAGGCTGCCACCTTGCTTCATCCTATCACATTCCTCTTGTCTGCCTCACAAAAGAATCAAATACAGAAAAACTGACAGTTGAAAGAGATCAGGACAGGAGTATAAGATAGTAATTTTATGTGAGAGAAAAAGTTGCAGGAGTTTGCTGGTAAAAAGAAACCAAATAATTGTAGAGAGGTCATGTGAGAAGGTTGTCGAAAATTTTCCCTTAAATCTTCACAGTGTCCAGGGGATATACACACCTCGTTGTTGTTTTTAAAATATCTTCTGAGATTATTTTTTGCTTTTTGGTTTTTGTTGTTTTTGGTGGCCTAGTCTTTTCCAATTTCACGAGTAACTGGAAGGCTGAAACATCATGGAGTTGTTTGAAATAATCATATCTTGGCTGTTGTTTGAAGGGATCTTTCACACACAATATACCATTGAAGGTCATATTTCATTTCCTCATATAATCTTATAACATGTGAAATAATAATTTAAAAACCTGGCTCATTAGCAGGCACTAGGAATGGGGGTGATTAATATTTATCTTTTCTTTGGTACCATTATTATTACAGACTCATGCTGACAGACTTTTGATGCTACAAACTTCTATAGGAACATCAGTTAAGGTACTCAGATTTCACATAGTTCCTTCTATTTCCTCACACTCAATATTAAATATAAGCATCTTTATTTATGAAGGCAATTGAACCAAAGCTGACATGGAGATTTTATATCTCTATCATTCATATACTCTGCAATACTCTATGCACTTATTTAAAACTAAACAAAAGATGAAGATATGGTCATATGGCCATTGGTTGAAGGAAAGTATTATTCTGATGTGAAACAATGTTGCACAAATAGTTACTGAAATAAATTCTATATAGGAGGGGTATGTACAAGGGGCTAGGGAAGTATATTGATGAGTAGTTAATGAAATATGGGGGTATGGGGAAGAAAATGCACATATTTGGGGGGAAGATAATATCTAAAATATGGCTTAAAAGTTGATTAGTGCATAGATAGATTTTGGAAGGTTAGGGAACACATATATTATTCATGTTCTTTTGAAATAACATATCATTACATCATTGAACCAGCTCTTTTCTACAGCTATTTTTGATCAAACTATTCTAAAAGCATGTAAAAATGTTTCGAAGGATATTCATATATTCTGAAAACTAAATGGTTTTTAAACATTAGAAAAAATAAGCAAATTAGACTTGTTTTCCAGAAAGAAAAATCCAAGAGACAATGATACAAGTTTCCGGGAGTCTTCTGCCTTTATTCTTTCAATTTTTTGAAACAATATAGAGTGAAAACTTCCATCTTCCAGCTCTCCTCTTAGAAGAATGGGATTTGGCCAGATATGATGAGCTGGATTCTAGCAATTTTCCTCAAATGTCTGACTCCTAATCTAGGTAAAATTACAAATAATATATTTGCAGATATAGTAAAGATGACCAATTAGGAGACTTTAAAATTGAGACATTACCTTGGATTATCCAAGTAGGTACAACATATTCACATAATCCCAAAAGCAGCAGAAAAAAGTGGGAGGGAAGAAGCTTAAGAAGTTGGGCAAATTTAAAGCATGAGAATGAATCATCAGCATTCATTGCTTTCAAGATGGAGAAAGAACTACAGCTTATCTCCAGAAGCTGGGAAGGATCCCTGGCCAATCAGGAAAAAAAATCAGGAACTCAGTCCAACAGTCCCATTTAACTAAGTTCTGCCCAAACCTCAGCGAGCTTGGAAGTACATTCCTCCATTCAGCCTGCAAAAAGGAACACAGCCTGCTAAAACCTTGATTTTAAGCTTATGCATCTCTGTCAGAGAGATAAGTGGGCTACACTGTGCTCAGACTTCTAATCCACAAAAACGGTGAGAAATCCAGTAGGTGCTACTTTACATCATTAAATTTGTGACAATTTGTTAAAGCAGCAATAGAAAGGTAATCCACCGACATTAGCAAACTCTTCCCCTCCTCTACATTCTCCCACATTTTTTGACTTAATTATTTCCTATTTATTTTCAGAATTAGGTTCTAGTAAAAGTGAGGAGCCACTGTCTTAGACACCTAAGAGTGAGAGAACAGTCAACAGCATGAGATGTATTACCTTGCAATTTCTTTTTTCTGTCTCCTTGTAGCCATGACAATTACTTTTTTTTTTGAGGGCAAATAAAGTTAAAGTTTAATATGTAATTTTGTTGTGAGAATATTAGTTCCAACTTACTGTGTTCTGAAAAATGATAATAAGTTATCATTCAAAAAGAAAGTGTTAATATTCTCCCCAAGATATTAAAGGCTTTCCAGCAAGGGTCCTAAACTTTTCTATTTGTTTTTTGGATGGAAAAAGTGGCCAATGTAAGAGCTAGGTTTAAAGAATATAGACTTGAGGAATAATTTTAGAGTGTTTTTTTGACAACGTGTGGGTAAGATACAAGTACTTGGAACAAACAAAAATATGACTAAAGCAACCAAAAGAATAACCAAAAGTTTCATAAATTCAAAAAGAACAAAACATTTCAAGGAGATGTGAAAACAGTCCTAAATGTGGCTCCTGAATTTTAACATAAGGAATTGGATTTGATAAACAGGAGCACATTAGTTTTCTTAATTAAATTAAATTTTGCTGGTAAAAATCAGATGTAAGTGTACTGAGAAGTGAGTACAAAAAGTGTGTTATTGAGAAGTTTATATGATAAATGGACAAGTGATAGAAGTTAATAGATGAAGTGGATTAATACATAATGGAAGAAATTATTTAGAATGAAAAACACTTTTGCTTGTCCATAACTGAGAAGAATTCCTCAATGAAAGAGATATTTTAAAGATGGAGAAAAATAGAAATAAAAGCTAAAATAATAAGGGTAAGTGATTGTAACAATGTAATCAGTCTCTTGGAGTTTAAGAGAATAGCTGCCACAACTGGTAGTAAGGTAGTATGGGCATGGGGGAGAAATTAAAGGCCTGGTGGTCAACAGGTGAGCCTCACAGGGCTGCTGAGGGAATGCAGATTAGATGAGAACATGGAGGGGCACAAGCAAGATGCCTGTGAGCCTGCAGGTAATAGTAGGGCACCAACATGGGTGTGAGGATGTCCTTCAGAAGATTTTCCATTTTCTCAACTTAAGCATTGATTTCTATTCCTCTAAGCCCAAGAGGTTGGATTTTGAAAGAGAAACAGGACTTGAGCACCATTGCTTAGTATTGGTACATGCTCTAAGGGCATGCCAAGTTCTTACTCTCATACTAAGTTTATCTCTGTTCATGAGGAAATTGCCTTTCAAATCTTCAATGTCTTTAAGATTTGTTAAAAGCTATTTCAGTGGAAATGTTGACCAGTTCAACTTTCAACTCCTATTACTGAAGACCAGTACAGATACAAGTTCAATTTTGACTCTTTGGCCGGGCATGGTGGCTCACACCTGTAATTCCAGCACTTTGGAAGGCTGAGGCAGGCGGACCATGAGGTCAGGAGATCGAGACCATCCTGGCTAACATGGTGAAACCCTGTCTCTACTAAAAATACAAAAAATTAGCCGGGCATGGTGGCAGGCACCTGTAGTCTCAGCTACTTGGGAGGCTGAGGCAGGAGAATGGCGTGAACCCAGGAGGTGGAGCTTGCAGTGAGCAGAGATCGTGCCACTGCACTCCAGCCTGGGGGACAGAGTGAGACTCTGTCTCAAAAAAAAAAAAAAAAAAAGGAAGAAATTTGACTCTTTATAGCTCTTTGTTCATTCTGGGCTACTATAACAAAATCCCACAGACTGAGTAACTTATAAATACTAGAAATTTCTTTCTCACAGTTCTAGAGGCTGGGAAGTCCAAGATCAGGGCACTGGCAGGTTCTTTGCTGAGGGCCCAGTCTTGCTTTCAAGACTGTTGCTGTATCCTCACATGGTGGAAGGGGGGAAAAAGGGATAAAATCTGTCTCCTCTCATGGCTTAAGAGATGGAAAGGCAAAAAGCCTACAGTGTTCTTTTCAACCTCCTGTATAAGGTCATGCATCTCATTCAAGATGGCTCCTCTCTTATAATTTAATTGTCTCCTAAAAGCACTACCCCTTAATATTATTATGTTGGTGATTAAGCTTTGACATTAAGACCATAGCAATCCCTAAGACTTATATATTCAAATTTGCAGAAAATTCCTTTGCACCTTTACACTCAGATTCACATCATTTTAGTAACAGCATACTGTCAAATAAATAGTATAAGTTTTCTTACATTATACTTTGTAACATGTATATGTATGGCATGACCAAAGCTCTTTCTGGCCATTAGAAATTGTAGAATGATACAATTTTTTTTTTTCTTTTTTTTTTTGCCTAAAGTTCCCAATAGTTTTTCTCAGTCAAGTATTAATATTCATTGTTTGGGCAACAGTGAACTTCACAATTATTTCTCTCTTTCTGCTAAATGGAATAATCAATAAGGAAAACTAAGAACTCGTTTGTTTAAAATAAAAAGTATTAAAAACCTATAAATAATCTCTTAATATGATTTATCTTTCCATTTTTGCTTTTTCAGGCTATGGACTTGAGTCTATAGATCTTCATCTTGGCTTTGCAATTTGATTCTACTTTCTCTTAGAGTTGCCTTTTTGAATATTCCTGCTGCAACCCAAAATTTATCTCTCTGTTTCTTACTTTGTGTTGTTAACTTTACAAACACACTTAATTGCTTCCTTGCTGATGGGTTTGTGCCAAGGACATACCTGACTAATTAATCCATTTATAATATGTCAAAAATAAACAAAAACTCATTTTCCAGTGCCATCCAGATTGCTAATTTTAATTAATTAACTTAACTCTTAACTTATTTAATTTTAAATTAGTTTATTTAATTTTTTCAGTATTATCCATATTATTAATTTTCAACATCCATCTTCATATGGTTAAGAGGTTTTTTCCTAGTTCTAATATTTAATAGCTTTGACTTTAGCAAGTTACTTAGCATTTTTTGTGCCTTTTTCTTCATTTGTAATAGAATGACATTAATACCTATCTCACAATGTTCTTTTCAAAATCAAATACTTAATTCCTACAAATTGAAGGGAGTAATTGCTGTACACAGTAAACATTGAAATGCTAACTGTTGTGATTATGATTTTAGTGTGAATTTACTAGAAACAATCTTATTTTATTATCTATTGAATACATGCCAAATAATATAACTTTTTAAATTTGTACTCCTCATCCATTATATTACTATCTACATTAATTCTATGATTAAAAATACATGCTCCTTATTTTCTTCAAAATACCTTACTAAATGATAGTATATCCTAGGCTTATTAGTTATTAAATACGAATGAATAATTTCAGCTCAGTTCTGGTAAAGATGGTGAACTGCTAGTTTTCCCTTATTTTTATTTTAGAACTTTTATTGGCTTATTAAATACCACAAATATTTTTCTAGATATTGATCTTAACAAAAATCTTTTTAAAATCTAGGTTAAAGCAGATGGTCCATGTAGGAAGAACACATTGGTTAACTCAATTTCATGAAGTAGTATGAATCTTTGTATACAGAATCCTCAGTAGAGTCAGTTTTGCTGACCAGGTTGACAAAGCTTATGACACATCAAAGAAATATGGGCATAAATAATGTTGTAATTTTGTAAGCACAAACTAATCTTGAAAGCAGTATTTTTCTTCGACCAAAAACTTTCTAAAAAATGATTTAAAACAACAAAAAATAATTAGGGGTTTTATTTTTCAAAAGCAATTATTGTTTGTAAAGAAATCCCTGCTTATTAAGTTAATCTAAAACATTATTATAGGAGTTTTACTCTACTGGTTTTAAAGAAAGCTTTAGTAATTTAATAAACAATTTGAAACAACAAGCACAAGTTACAGTTTATCAATGGTACCGTATTTGTATAAGCTGTACAACAAACTGCAGTCTTACTGAGAGTTTTATAATTTAATAATTGTGGTAAGAAACAACTTAAAAGAAATTCAACATTTATCATTCTCTAGCCTTAGCATTTACAAGTATGTAAAATAAAATCCACTGGCAGCTATTTCTTTATCTATGTAATACTACAAAAGAGAAATGCTTATGGGGAAATTTTGGTATGGTATGGTTAATTTTCAAAATGTTAAAAAAATTCAACCTTTTTAAATTATAAAATTTAAATTATATCTTTTAAAACATATTGTCCACAGGGTTAAGATTTGTAGTGCAGTACAAATATTTCATACTTTCAACAAATTACTAAACAATTAAACATTTTGAAATGGGAAAGCACAACTGCATTCATTAAATGACAGATAATTTAACAGTACGACCATTAAAAACATCCAGAAATCATGAGAAAACTTGCACTTACTAAAAACAAAACAACTACAGGGAACTGAAACATATTTTGCAAATATCAATCAAACTTGTAAGAGTTCAAAACAATTCTATTTCCAAGATATCTCAGAGTTACATTGAGGTATTCAGAGAAGTATTTTAAATGTCTCAAACAGAAAAGAGATCACTTGCTACTTTAAAGTAACTGCAACAATTTTACAACATTGTGAAAAATTGCAATTTTAAAATAATTATTTTCTTTAAAAAAAGCAACTTACCACAGAAAGTTATTGAGTTACAGAAACAAATTTCAAAATAAATTCTGCATCTGTAAAATTTTACTTCATCCTCTGATTTTATGGCAACAAACAAAAAAATCATAGCTTCTAAATCTCAACATTTAATTTTCACATCACCTTGCTGAAATGGAAACAAGTTACAGCTTTCCATCAGTAGAGGTGTTATAAATGGGGAGACAGCAATTCAAAATAAAGAAACAACTAAACTTTTCATATTATTCTGTATCATCAAAAATTTTAACTTCAGGAGGTAAACAAAATAGTTAGTTTTTGGTTTTGCTGCAATTGCTTTTAGGGACTTAGCCAAAACTGCTCTGCCAAGGCCTATGTCGAGAAAAGTATTTCCTAAGTTTTCTTGTAGGGCTTCTATAGTTTGAGGTCTTATATTTAAATCTTTAATCCATCTTGAGTTAATTTTTGCATGTGGTGAAAGGAAAGGGTCTAGTTGCAGCAACATAGATGTATCTGCAAGCCATGATACTAAGTGAATTAATGCCGGAACAAAAAACCAAATATCACATGTTCTCACTTTATAAGTGGGAGTAAACACTGAGTACACATGGACATAAACAGGGGAACAATGGACACTATGGACTACTAGAGGGGGAAGGGAGGGGAGTATGGTTTGAAAAACTACCGATTGAGTACTATCCTCACTAGCTGGGTGTAATATACGTACATAATAATCCTACGCAAGTACCCCCTGTATCTAAAATAAAAGTCGAAACTTTTTTAAAAAGTGGAATTTTATTAATATTAGTAACAAGTGACTGTTGTATGCAATTTCTCATTCAACATCTAGATTTATGTAAAGCAATTTTCCTATCAGTTCAATTAGTAATCATGTCAAATTTTTATTTTAAGTTTTCTTCACATCTTATCCAAGGCCACCCATATTTAATTGTGTAAAGCATGTAAAAGCTAAACTAAGCAATGTGAAGTATATTAGTTAACCGTTAGGTAACTGTGAGTAATTTAAAATAATTGTTGTTTATAATAAAGTCTATCATATACATTTTGCCAATAAAGCTGAACTTTTTATTACATTTGAATTGTATACATGTATTATTATATTCCAGATCAAAACTAATGATCAGAATGTTTTGTTGGTTTTTGTAAAAATTTAACATAGAAAGTGCTTTTTTAAAGGCTCATTATTGGAAGTCATTCCACATTTGAAAATACCATATTTCTGTGTGTGTGTGTGTGTGTGTGTGTGTGTGTGTGTACATGTATTGTAGCCTAGAAAACCAGACTTAAATCAAAATAGGGTTATAGTAAAAAATGCTTATGAAAAGTGGAAAGTAGTTTAATTGACAAGAACACAGACTTGTATATGAATATGTATTAAATAAAAGCAGAGGAAATTATTTTTATCTCTAAAAATTTTAAATTACATTTTTGAATACTTTCATAATATAAAATTAATTCCTTCACAAAAATATCTGAAAATTAAAACTTCATTCTTTTTTTCTATTAATGGAAATAATTTGACTATGAAATCAGATTCCCAAATGTTGAATTTATTCATGGTTTCTTATCTCATAAACTGTTCAATGAAATAAAAGAATACTTAGTCACGAGTATTGTTTAATCTTCCTATCTCATGTTAAATTAAAAAAAAAATTCTCCATTAACTTAATTATTTTAACCCAATTCTATTTCCCAGTTTCCCTCTACTGAATCACTTCTTTTTGCACTACTTACTGCTTCTCCACAATTTTATGATTTGTTTTCCCTTGAAAAAATCAGTTTAGCATTGTTGTCAACAGTGTAAAATATGACAGTTTATACTTCTTAAAACACATGAAGAATCAAAATGTATATTTGTAAAATTAGTTATGAAAAAAGAAAGGAAAATATATTCCTATGTATCTTGTCTACTTCATCCACCTATCAACCTCTTTCATAAATGCAATTTCTCAATATTGTTCTATTTATTACTGCCTGGGAATACCAAGGCCACAGTTTACCTTGATTGCTGTAGGAAAATAACATGTTTTCTAGAATTCCACAGCCACAGAAAAATACTGCCTAAGAAAAAAATGGGGATTGTGTTTTTAAATTAAATCTGGCTTAAAATTAAAGAAAATATATTGTTTCTTGAAATTACTATCAATTAAAAATACAAATAGATATACCAAGAAGATAAATCATATGGATACAAATTTGTTTATATTAATTAACAAAAAGTATCAAAATATTAAGGCATAAATTACTATGTTCATAGTTATAGAACTATGTTCGTAGTTATAGAAGTATCATAACTCACTGTGGTACTGTAGAAGAAAGGGGTTTTAGAGAATGACTACTAGAAAAAGGGAGTTATGAATAATAAACTACAGTCTTCTGATCAAATACAGAAAGATGAACAGCACAAATCAACCATATCATTTTTGCTTGCACACATTTCTATAAAGTGCACTAATTAGTGGTTAAATTTGTAGTTAGTTTATAGATTACAAAATATAAAGATAGAATTTATAAAGATAAGTAAACAAATAATGAAAATAAATCTATGGCGTTACGGTGAAGGCAGAAAACAGATCTAAATAAACTCAGAAACACATTCCTCACTCACATGATTTTGTATTATAAAAATGTTGAGTTTTTGTCAAATTAATATAATACTATATTTGCACAACATTTTAAGAAGTTATGTTAAAAACTGGTCCCAATAATTTTATAGTTCATACAAAAGAACATTGCAATTTCTAAGAAATATAGCATAAAAAAATGAAGAAAATGTTCAATGTTCATTAACATATACTATGAGAGAACCCTAATAAATATCAACAATTATAATATGTTGATATTCAATTAAATTTAAATTGAATTGAATTATGCTGCTTTATTTTAAAATGTTTTAGAATAATTGAGTATATATCGGTTATAAAACAGAACATAATTATACAATCTCTAAAGTAAATTTCAAATTGATTAGCAAGTTAAATGTAAAACAAACTGACAAGCATTTTATTTCTTCAAAAATAAGTATGGGAATTATATGAAAACAAGAGGACTGGGTTACATACCGATTTTAAATGAATGATAAATTTTCTGTAAAGCAAAGACTATGTAAATGAAAACAAAAATAACTCTAAGATAGGAGAAAATATGCAAAACATGTAAGTCTGAAGTTGGATTGCTATGCCAATAAAAATTACATGCCAGCATATAGTATCATGTTGAATTTAAAAGAGTAAGTTCTAGGATAGATTGCATGGTTTATTTTATGAATTAATTTATTATTTTTGTGATACAATATATGAAATTCTCATTTAAGAATGATGATAAAAATTGAAGTATACACAGCTAACTTACAGCTTTACTTACAATTATATAAATTAGCATTATGCATGACACATGGTAAATGTTCAATAAATGTTAACCTTATTACTTGTAAGTATCAGTACTGTATAGACTATTTAGAAGTCATTACACTAAGAAAGAAAACTTGGAATCGTGAGTAAAGGGCATATAAGCAATACAGAAAAAAGGCCACAGTATTCACAACATTGTCATTAATTAAATAGACAATATTAAAGGGTGAAATTTCTACAACATTTTTGGATTCTGGATGTACCTCTTTATTATATGATTTCCAAAGACTTTTACTAGGCAATCATGCTCATCCAACTCTACTTTATATAATTAAATATGTCACCTTAGGAGGTATATTTAAAAATTTTTATTGTAGTATGAACTGATAAAAGAGGAGACATAAAATAAAATAAACGGGTGTGGGGGAGAGAGAAAAACAAAACCCAAAAACAACTTGAATGGATACCATTAGAGAAATGGTTAGAATAATTACATTATATTCATATATGACTCATTATATAATGTTTGGCCACGTGACTTTGGCAAAAGGAATTTGACAAATGTTACCTATACCTTGTCTAAGGAAAGCTTTATATTCAGTTGTTTGATTTCACTCAGCACCTTTCAATCTGCCTTTTGCTATGTGTACAACACATTTTAGAGGCTTATCCTTCAGCCTTGATCATGGAATGAGAACGTACATGGAACAGACAAGCAAGTGACTAGCAGCCTGAAGCAGAGCTGCAGTTGACTGTAGCTTTAGTATAAAATGAGTCAGAAATATAACATTTTGTTGATTTAATACACAGAGCTTCAGTAGTTATTTGTTATTACTGCAAAAGCTAATTAATAATTCTGCAATAAAATATTACAAGGCTATTAAAATAATTATATATGGCTATGTATTAACACGCAAATAAGCCAGATGTACTGGTGCACATGTGTTTATAATATGCAACTTACAGAGTATTTTCTAATTTTAACTTGTTCTCTTAAAAACTGTTAAATGTATTTGTATGTATACATGTGTTATATTTGTGTAAGTATAAATAAATATATGTAAAGTAAAAAAAAAACAACTTTAATTTTGGTTGCCATGAATAAAGGGAAAGGAGATGTCATGGTGAGGGTTGGTCAGAAAGACTGGATTAGGGTGATACTATTAATTTTTCAATAAAGTATTTTATCAAACTAGCCTCTGTTTCTTCCATGATGAATTATAATAATTAAAATAATGTCAAAGTAAAATGCAATGAACATTCAACATAAAGATATTTTATCCCATTTTATGTCTTTAAAAAACATTGAAAATATTATAAAAAGTGCAAAAAAATCATAAATGCTAACTTCAACTAAAATCGAAATGGCTCTTACTAACTAAAATAATCTAAAACTCAGAAATTTTAAAGCAAATCTTTACTGAAAGATGGGAAATGATTTAGGCTCTCTCAAACTTTTGTTTTCAAGTGAATGATGGAGGGAACAGAAAAAATATTCTGTTCCCATAGACGTGCAAAACAACACATGGCAGAACTGCAGGAATAAAGCTAGAAAACCTTCTATCATTACTGTCTAACAAATCACTCTGTGTATACTGAGATTTCTTTATTTGAGTGAAGTATAGAAAGAAGAGATAACATCACTTACATTACAATCCTGAGGATTCAGACTAAAGGGTGTTTTTTTGTTTGTTTTTTTTTTTCTTGAACTTTACTGATCCAATGAAAAGGGGAAAATGAGGGAAGATGGCCCATCTGGAATGAAGAATATAATGGATGGGGTCGTTAATAAGCAGGATAACAAATTAAAACTGATGAAGTTTCAACTTGCATCTGGTCTCCTCCGAACAAATACACGTTAATTATTTTGAAAGGCACTTACATATTTAACTTGTAAACAACAAGAGAAAACCTAGCATATTTACTTAATTTTGAGGTGAAGTTAAGAATTCAAGACATATTTGTTCTTGAACAGATGGGAAAACATCCAACAGCACATTTGAGGTCAAAAAACTCTGGAGTCAGTTCTACAAAGTTTTGAGGGAGAACAAATGGGACACATGACATTGTTGTCCAGTCAAATTGTCATCCAAATAAAAAGTAAGAAAGCGACTAATAGAAGTGTTAAATTTTGTAAGAATTTAGGAAATATATAGGCCTTGAATCCAGGTTAAGAATAGTAATATAATTACTGGCCGAATTCAGTGGCTCACGCCTGCAATTCCAAGACCTTGGGAGGCCGAGGCAGGCGGATCACCTGAGCTCAGGAGTTTGAAACCAGTCTGGCCAACATGGCGAAACCCCATCACTACTAAAAATGCAAATATTAGCTAGGCATATGGTGTGCACCTGTAATTCCAGCTACTCAGGGGACTGAGGCAGGAGAATCGCTTGAACCCAGGAGGTGGAGATTGCGGTGAGCCGAGATTGCACCACTGCACTCCTAGCCTGGGTGACAGAGCAACACTTCATCTTAAAATAATAAATATTAATCACAACAAAAAATATGGAAATTGAGAACCTTAATATATTAACTGCTACTGGCATTTTATCCATTTAAATACTAGGAATAGACAACAATTTTGGGGCCTGGACATATAATTATTTTGACCATAAAAGTAATAAAATTCTGATCTGAAAGATGTAAAATAAATGTAAGCATGCTTTCTGTACATATTTAGCAGCAATATAATAATAGAAATAATAACAATGGCAATGATAATTAAAACAACAAAATACAATCCTAGTCTTACAAATATTTTCATAATCCATTTTTATACCTGGGAAATACTTATAACAAACTAATAGTTATTACTCACTGGAAATTCAAATTTAATTATGTATCCTAATTTTCTTTGGCAGTCTTATTGGTGGGGATGCATTTGCTGGAGAACAAAACAATGTTAATATAAAATCTGATACTGTACTAAATTGTATATCATTTGGGGATAAAAAAGCTGTTACAAGAATATTTTTAGGACAATTGGAAAAATGTGGACATGGAATGGGTATTGGAAACTGAAAAAACATAGCCATGAAAAATGATTATTGTTAACTAAAAAATGCCTGGAGATATTATGTGAAGTACAATATCAATTTGTAAAATATATATGTTTATACAAACATAGGAAAAGATCCTAAAGAATACACTTTTAATGGTAGTTTTCTCTGAGGGCCAAGAAAATGTACTTAATCATTTTATTTTTGTGCTTTCCCATCTTTTCTCTGTATCTAATATATATGTATATATATGTACTTATTTGTTATATTAATTTTTGTTCTCTGTCTCTGAAATATTGCATAATAAAAAATGGGGCTATATGGAAACTCTTTGTCCTTTCTACTCAATTTTGCTGTGAACTTAAAACTTCTCTAAATATAAATTTTATTAGAAACACACAAACTATTCTTACTGTCATTTCATATCTTCATAATAATTCATTTAAAAAATGCATGAATTAATTTTGTTTAAGTTAGAGATTCTGGATTACTCATTTTCTCCTTGATCTCCTAAATACATACTTCCAGCCTACAAGTATTTTATCCTAATATAATATATATTTTTTGCTTGCCAATTTCTGTGCAATATATCATACTATGTTATAAAAAACTATGTAAAATGAAATTTAGTACATTTAAAATTTTTCCTTGGACTATAAACTTCTAACCAAGCATCTTCAGGATTAAATCATTATTGTGAATATTAATAAAAGCTAATTAAAATATAAATGTATTAGAGAGACTGATTAAAGTAATAAACACAAATAAAATTATATGGGAAATGCATCAAAAATGGCCTTTATAGGAATGCTCTCTTTCAATTATTTTGTGTTCATGTACAAATAGTATTTATTACTAGAATGATGTTAATCTGTAAACATTTACGAACAAAATGTATGTGGCCTCTAGTAAGTGTGAAACCTACAGAAAGTATTTAATGTTTGATATGTTAGTTGCCATAGAGGAAAAGCATATTCTGTTAGAACTATTCTAGTAAGTATGTAAGTAGAATAAATAAATAAAGAGAGAAGCTGATGAGTGAAAGCTATTTTCAATGTCTTCCCCTTGTGTTGTTTCAGGATTATTCCTCAGAAGCTATAAAACCTTTTGTAATATTGGAAGTTGACAAGCCAAGCGCATTAAATGAAAACTGTCAAAAATCCTGCTCCCTTATGCTATTATGTGTGTACTCAGAATATCCAAACAGAGGTCAAACTATCTCATCTGTAGTGCCATGCTTCCCTTTTAACAATTATATGCGTAACACATGGAAAGAATTCAAGTCACACAGAAGTATACGTTGGCTTGAGAGAACAGGCTTCTCAAACATCAAAATTTAAAATAGTCCCTTTGTTTTAAGGTTTTACCTCTTGATAAATGTATCAAATTGAGTCTCAAGAAGAGATAGAGATAAGGTTTTATTTATTAAGGTGGAAATAAAGTTATTCTTGAGGGCCTTCTCAAGCAGAGCAAGTGAGAAAAGAGTAAGTACAAATAGAAGAGAAGATTTAAAATTGATTCCTTAAAGATCCTCATGCTTTGAGAAATTCCTTGGAAGGTATTTTCATAAACCAGGGGTTCTCACACAATTGCTAGGTCCCACAATAGACCATCTGCAAGCTGAGGAGCAAGGAAACCCGTCCGAGTCCCAAAGCTGAAGAATTTGCAGTCTGATGTTCAAGGGCAGGAAGCATTCATCACAGGAGAAAGATGTAGGCTGAGAGCCTAAGCTGGTCTAGGCTCTTCATCTTTTTCTGCCTGCTTTTATATTCTGGCCACACTGGTAGCTGATTAGATGGTGCCCACTCAGATTAAGGGTGGGTCTGCCTTTGCCAGACCACTGACTCAAATATTAATCTCCTTTGGCAACACCCTCACAGATACACGCAGGATTAATACTTTGTATCCTTCAACTCAATCAAGTTGACACTCAGTATTAATCATCACAGAGATACTATAAGAACAGAATGAGAATCACACTAAAATGGTAGATGTCTCAGTAAAATGATAGTTAATAGATCAACCAGGGACTTCATAATGTATAGAATGGAACATCAGACCAAAAAGAGGCTGAGAGATTTGAGAATATGTAATTGTAGCAAAAGACTATAGGTCCAGGAATTACTGAAACTTTGGGAAGTTTAGCAGTTTGGAGTTGTGACTGTGGGTGTGGTAGGTCGATCCAAGAGCAGAAGTGATAAGCAGACATAGAAAATGATAAGCCCTGGTATGGAATTGGTCATTCATACAGATCAGGTCTGTGCTTGTGGGTGGGCAGAAACACTTGATCCATGTTGCAAGGCCTTTAATAAGTGACATTGTTATATCTATTCAAAGATATTATTATTAGTAGATGACAAAATAGTTTCAAATATTTTTAAGAAGTAGAGAGTAGCACAGCTAAATGACATGATCTTAACATGATTGCTTTGCTTGTTTGTTTTATGTTTAAAGAAGAGCAGTCAAATTGCCTGACTGGTGTTTTGGGATAAGGATAAGAGTGATTGAAGGCCAAAGAGCTCACCAGCAAAACCTAATACACATTTCTGTGGCAAACCTGAGGTGTTTTTGGTGTAATCGAAGGGCAGCCTCCTTTTTTTGTAACAACCCCTGGGATGATAAAGTCTTTAGTGGAACAGTAGATTTTATTTTAAGCAAAGAAACATTAAAGAAGTAGATGATTTTATGCCTTAATAAGGAGCTGAAGAAGACATACTGAAAAGAAAGAAAGTCTAAGAATTTTGGTTAAACGAAGAACAAAGTAATTGGAGGTGAGAGGGAAGAGTTTCAGATAACCAGAATAGAGGCTTTAATTCAGTGTTCAGAGTAAGCAAATGAGCAGGAGAGTCTTGATATATTTAGCTTTTAGTCAGGCAAACACATTTCAGTGTCCTCTGGATGGTTAGAAAGTCAGTCTACCTCTGAATTCAGCTGCAGCTGGAATCTCATTTCCCTTAGATTCTCAGGGATGGAAACTGGCAGGGTATGAAGACTGATTCTGGTGGCTGCTCAGTCAGTCATGCCTGACAGGTGCTGGGATGTTGCTTTGTGTTCTGCCTTACAGTCTGGTGAGGAGTTTTCATAAATATATGAGAAGCCATATTAAAAGCTTTGGACACTGAACAGGTTAGATTGCTTCCAAATTCTCGAGGTGGGGGTAAAGTCCTGTTTATCTGATCTATTTTTATCTATGTCGGGTAAAATGTAGTTATGTTTACAATAATTAAAGATAAGTTTTGTGTAATATAGATGACTGAAAGGCATGAACAATTTCTACCTTACCTTTTTATTTTATAGAGGAAATGTTAAGTGACAATATTGGGGGAATGATTATTATGAGTAGATATATGGGGTCCTATTTACAGCCATCAATATCAAAAGCATATATTGTTCCAGGATAATTTATTTGAATAATAAATGCTTTTTATCATAATGATCACAAAATAAACCTCCATATTTTGGTGTGTAAAATATTGCAATGAATAAAATATATTAAATTGTAATGTATAAAATAAGCAATGTAAATCATTAATACATAAAAATAGCATTTACATTCTCTAAGTAAAATAAATATTCATGCCACATTCTATGTAAACTTTAAAACTCTGTATTCATCATCCAGAAGAAAATTTTTCCTGGAACACTGAAATTGTTTTTTGCTATTTTGCTTCAATTATTTTTTGAAAAAATAAAGTGATTTTATTTTCAGCAACTTTTCAGAATGGTTGTGTTATTTATAAGTAAAACAAATAACTACATTTAATAAGTAATTCAAAATACATTATTTTACTTTTTGCTTTAAAAAATTGCTTAAATGTTTTTATGGTAATAATGTTAAATTATTTATTTTTATTACTCCTACATATTTGTATTAGTATACTTAAATTTACTTATAATATTTATAACTCATATCAGGGTTTCATGTTCTGGGTCTTTTTTATAGCAAGTATTAAATATTTTAGATTACATTACCAGTATGTTCTGTGTATTGAGCATGGTTTGAGTATTAGAATTAAGTGTTATAAAGTAGATACCAGGGTCTAGCAGGGTGAAACAGTGGAAGAAATGGAAATAAAAATCAGCTCTCCTAGGTCCTATTTTTTATTTTGTCCCTCAAGTAATTTTTTGATCCTTAGCCTCTCACCAGAAAATATCTATTCCGTGCTTTTCAAAAATGCCTAACACTTCTTTACCAGATAATAACATGTCTTATTAGACAATTTGAATAGCAGACTAAGTCATGATACATTTAAAAAAGATAAATACACAAATCCTTATGCCAGGAAGGAAGTGAACACTCTTTTACTGACTAGGGTTCTATTTAGCATCTTATATTCCAGTAAATAAAACTAAGGTTCAGCACAATAATATAGTAGTGTAAGAGCCCAATTGAAACACAGTTTTTATTCTGTAATATAATATTATGCTTTCTATTGCACATTGTTTAACATTTTTATAGAAAGAAAAACATTCCACTCAGTTTTCACTGCCTTTAATCTAAACCTGGTCTCTAGTAGACAAGATACTGTGAGAGGAATGGACTTCATGACAAAGGGAACAAGAAGTGGGCTAATACAAAGTTATTTGACAAGAATCCTCACTGGATTGCAGAAATCACATTGATTAGTGATTGGTCATACATTGTTAAACAATAGAGTATGAATTATGGTATCAGGCAAATAGCATTTTATGGCTTCTGGGCATCATTTATTCTAGAGCCCATATAGCTAGTGGCTTCAAGAGTGTTTTTTAGCTTAAGGGGGAGTGACATAACTGCCGTTTTATTCCATTGCCTTTCTAGAACTGATAATTTAAAGGGGCTCACATTCCTCAGAAAAAATTTTATTTTCTTCTTTACTTTTTCCAAATTATTTGAGCTGATTAATTGGTGCCTTACTTAGGGTAGGTTAGGTATACCATATATTCCATTGTGTCATCATTTTTGCATATATATATATATATATACACACACATATATATCAATATATATTGCTTTTGAATATATGTGTGTGTATCTGTATGTTTATATATATATATATATATAACCATTTTTGCTTATCAAAATTCTGAAAAACAGTACCAATTGATTGCTAGTCCTTTTATTTATAACAGTTTTTATATGCTAAGGGAATGATTTCAATTTATTCACACTTAAATGGTAAAAGTGCTCTTTTTCTAAGACCTATTTGCTGACTGGAAAGCCTGTAGAGTCTTTTATTATGAGGCTTTTGTGGCTATGATTTTCCCAGAAAGGAAGTCACAATTAACAAGAAAAAGAGAAATCCCAAACCTTAAAGATCTGACCTCACTTTCAGACATGGAGCCCATTTAATTGTAATGATCTCAAATCCTTAGCTTCTTGGTGAGAATAATTTCTTTGTACTTTTATTTTTTCTTAAGTCCCCAGAACAATAACTCTAATGTTTAAACTTTAGAAAATCTTTAACAGAATAAAAAAATACTGATGCAATAATTCTTTCATAAGGTTTACTTTACTATGAAAGTGTTCTCAAGGATAATTAATGTATTAATTCATTCTCATGCTGCTATGAAGAAATACTGGAGACTGGCTAATTTATGAAGAAAAGAGTTTTAATTGACTCACAGTTCTTCATGGCTGAAAAGGCCTCTGGAAACTTACAATCATGGTGGAAGGAGAAGGGGAAGAAAGATAGCTTCTTTACAGGATGGCAGGAAGAAGAAGTGACAAGCAAAGAGGAAAAAGACCCTTATAAAACCACCAGGTCTCCTGAGAACTCACTCGCTGTCACAAGAACAGCATGGGGGGTAACCACCCCCATGATTCAATTACCTCCCATAGGATCCCTCCCTAAACATGTAGTGATTATGGGAATTATAATTCAAGATGAGATTTGGGTGGAGATACAGACAAACCATGTCATTTCAACCTTGGCACCTCCAAAATCTCATGTCCTCACATTTCAAAACACAATCATGCCTTTCTAGCAGTCTCCTAAACTCTTAGCTCATTCCAGCATTAACCCAAATGTCCAAGTCCAAAGTCTCATCTAAGAAAAGAAAATTTCCTTTTGCCTATGAGTCTGTAAAACCAAAGAAAGTAAGTTGCTTCCTAGATACAATGAGGGGAGAGGCATTGGGTAAATACACCCATTCCAAATGGGAGAAATTGGCCAAAACAAAGGGGCTACAGGATTCATGCAAATCTTAAATCCAATAGGGCATTCATCAAACTTTAAAGTTTGAAAATAATCTTTGATTCTATGTCTCACATCCAGGTCACGCTGATGCAAGAGGTAGGTTCCAATGGCCTTGGGCAGCACAGACCCTGTGGCTTTGCAGGATGCAGCTTCCTCCCAGCTGTTTTCACAGGCTGGTGTTGAGTGTCTATGGCTTTTCCAGGCTTATGGTGCAAGTTGTCAGTGGATCTACCATTCTGGGGTCTGGAGGAGACTGACCCTCCTCTCACAGCTTCACTAGATAGTGCCACAGTGGGGACTCTATGTGGGAGCTCTAACCCCACATTTATCTTCCACATTGCCCTAGCAGAGATTCCACATGAGGGTTCCACCCCTGCAGCAAACTTCTGCCTGTACATCCAGGCATTTCCATACATCCTCTGAAATCTAGACAGAGGTTCTCAAACTTCAATTCTTGACTCCTATGTACCCACAGGCTCAACATCACATGGAAGCCACCAGGGATTGGGGCTTGCACCCACTGAAGCAATGGCCCAAGCTGTACTTTGGCCCCTTTTAGCCATGGCTGGAGCTGAAGCACCTGGGATGCAGGGCAACATGTCCTGAGGCTGCACACAGCAGGGGGCCCTGGACTCAGAAGGACATCATTTTTTCCTCCTAGGCCCCCAGGCCTGTAATGGGAGGGGCTGCTTGAAGGTCTCTGAAATGCCCTGGAGCCATTTTCCCCATTGTTTTGGTGATTAACAGTTTTCTCCTAGCTACTTATGCAAATTTCTGCAGCAGGCTTGAATTTCTCCCCAGAAAATGTTTTTTTGTTTGTTTGTTTGTTTGTTTTTTCCTATTACATCATCAGGCTGCAAATTTTCCAAACTTTTGTGTTCTGCTTCCTCTTGAATGTTTTGCTGCATAGAAATTTCTTCTGCAAGATACCCTAAATCATCTCTCTCAAATGTAATGTTCCACAGATCTCTAGATAGAGGCAAAATGCTACCAGTCTCTTTGCTAAAGCACAGCAAGAGTGACCCTTACTCCAGTTCCCAACAAGTTTTTCATCTCCACCTCAGCCTCAACTTTATTGTCCATATCACTATCAGCATTTGGTCAAAGCCATTCAACAAGTCTCTAAAAAGTGACAAACTTTCCCACATCTTCCTGTCTTTCTTTGAGTCCTCCAAATATTCCAACGTCTGCCCAGATCCAAAGTTGCTTCCACATTTCTGGGTATTCTTATCTTTATTCCCCACTCCCTCAGTACTAATTTACTGTATTAATTCATTCTCATGCTGCTGTAAGAAATACCCAAGACTGAGTAATTTATAAAGAAAGGAGGTTTAATTGACTCACGGTTCTGCATGACTGGGAAATCCTCAGGAAACTTACAGTCATGGCAGAGAGCAAAGGGGAAGAAAGACACCTGCTTCAAAGGGTGGCAGGAAGGAGAAATGCTGAGAAAAAGGGGAAGAGCTACTTATAAAACCATGAGGTCTCATGAGAACTCACTCACTATCAGGAGAACAGCAGCATGGTGATAACTGCCCCCATGATTTAATTACCTCCTACCAGTTTCCTTGCATGACACGTGGGGATTATGGGAACTACAATTCAAGATGATGTTTGGGTGGGGACACAACCAAGGCATATCAATTAAGAAGGCTGCACTTACAGAATATTATTGAAAAGTTATTAATGTATTACATTCAAATTCTTCATTATTTATATTCATGAAATACAGCAAAAGTTTAAGTAATTAAAATCCAGGCTGCATGCTGTGGCTCATGCCTGCAATCCCAGGACTTTGGGAGGCTGAGCTGGGTGGATCACGAGGTCAAGAGTTTAAGACAAGCCTGGCCAACATGGTGAAACCCTGTCTCTACTAAAAACACAAGAATTAGCCATGCATGGTGGTGTGTGCTTGTAGTACCAGCTACTAGGGAGGCTGAGCCAGGAGGATTGCTTGAACCTGGGAGGCAGAAGTTGCAGTGAGCCGAGATTGTGCCACTGTGCTCCAGCCTGGGTGACAGAGTGACAATCCATCTCAAAACAAAACAAACAAACAAACAAAAAACAAATCTAGACAGTATAAATTACAAATTAATCTTAAAATGCAGTTACTTCATTTGTTGTGTTCTCATTTATGCAATAGCAAACACATAATTACTTTAGCAAATTTTATCCTTATATCAGTTCACTTATCATTTCATAGTGTTTCTGGGTTGGAATAACTCACTGAATAATTTCTCAGCAGTAAGAGCTAGAAGTGCATCAACAATTATCATTACATCAAAATCTATCTTAATTACAACATTCATAATAATATAATATCTATAAGTATTTGGTATATCATCTGCCAAGCTGTGAGCTAAATTCTTTAAATGTGTTAATTTATTTAAGCTTTACCACAATTCTATGAATGAAATAGCATTATTAGTTTCCTTTTGCAGATGAGGAAATTGAGTCTTAGAAAGTTTAAACGAAGAGTTCCAAATTGCATAACAATTAAATATTCGACTTAGAATGTAAACTCAAGTAGTTTTACTTTGGGTGACACTCTAAATATTACTCTTTAAATAGATCAGTATTATGATACATTAAAATTATTCCTTTTCTAAAGTAATGTCTTCCATTACATTATAAGGTATGTTTTAATTCCTCATATTTCTTTGTTGCACTATGTCATGGCAATTTATTTAAACAGTCACATAGGAAAAAAATGGCATGACAGAAAATGCTCAGACAAAACATAATAGGCTGGGCATGGTGGCTCACACTTGTAATCCCAGCACTTTGGAAAGCTGAGGCAGGTGAATTACCTGAGGTCAGGAGTTTGAGACCAGTCTGGCCAACATGGTGAAACCCCATCTCTACTAAAATTACAAAAAATTAGCCAGGTGTAGTGGCATGTGCCTCTAGTCCCAGCTACTCAAGAGACTGATGCATGAGCATCCCTTGAAGCCAAAAGGCAGAGATTGCAGTGAGCTGAGATCACACCCCTGCACTCCAACCTGGGTAACAGAATGAGATTTTGTCTGAAAAAATTTAAAACAATTAAAAAAAAATTTTTTTAATTAATTATTTTTATTTTATTATTATTATACTTTAAGTTTTAGGGTACATGTGCCCAATGTGCAGGTTAGTTACATATGTATACATGTGCCATGGTGGTGTGCTGCACCCATTAACTCACCATTTAACCTTAAGTATTTCTCCTAATGCTATCCCTCCTCCCTCTCCCCACCCCACAACAGGCCCTGGTGTGTGATGTTCCCCTTCCTGTGTCCATGTGTTCTCATTGTTCAATTCCCACTTATGAGTGAGAACATGCGGTGTTTGGCTTTTTGTCCTTGCAATAGTTTACTGAGAATGATGATTTCCAATTTCATCCATGTCCCTACAAAGGACATGAACTCATCATTTTTTATGGCTGCATAGTATTCCATGGTGTATATGTGCCACATTTTCTCAATCCAGTCTATCATTGTTGGACATTTGGGTTGGTTCCAAGTCTTTGCTATTGTGAATAGTGCTGCAATAAACATACGTGTGCATGTGTCTTTATAGCAGCATGATTTATAGTCCTTTGGGTATATACCCAGTAATGGGATGGCTGGGTCAAATGGTATTTCTAGTTCTAGATCCCTGAGGAATAGCTGCACTGACTTCCACAATGGTTGAACTAGTTTACAGTCCCACCAACAGTGTAAAAGTGTTCCTATTTCTCCACATCCTCTCCAGCACCTGTTGTTTCCTGACTTTTTAATGATCTCCATTGTAACTGGTGTGAGATGATATCTCATGGTGGTTTTGATTTGCATTTCTCTGATGGCCAGTGATGGTGAGCATTTTTTTCATGTGTTTTTTGGCTGCATAAATGTCTTCTTTTGAGAAGTGTCTGTTCATGTCCTTCACCCACTTTTTGATGGGGTTGTTTGTTTTTTTCTTGTAAATTTGTGTGAGTTCATTGTAGATTCTGGATATTAGCCCTTTGTCAGATGAGTAGGTTGAAAAGACATAATAACTTATTCTGTCTATCTGAGCTGGAATTTCCTGAAGTTTTATTTAACTTTGGATTCCAATGTCTGCCTTAAAATTGTATACAGAAGATATTACACAACAGCTAAGAAACCTTTTATAACCTCTAAATTGTATATGACTATTGATTATTTATCAATCTATAAGCCTATAGCAGTTCAAGTTAATGTGAATAAAGATGTAAAAGGATAGGCTATTCTCAGTAAATTTATAAAATTCTTGGAATTTGTTTTCTCTTTCTTCCTTTTTTTTTAAATTATTTTTTTAAGATGCAGGGTCTCCCTATGTTGCTCAGTTGTTCTCAATCTCTTGGCCTCAAGTGATCCTCCTGCCTCAGCCTCCCAAGTAGCTAAGATTACAAGCACAATATAGCATGCCTGGCTTATTTCTTCACTTTATTTCTGCACCCTCAATTCATAGCCTCCCATCAAGAATGAAGTAAATTCATTATCTTACCCTTCTTTCTCTCAGTTCCTCTTTCTCTCTAACTTTATAAATTTGTGTATCTCAAATTATTTGGTAGTATTGTCAACATGTTACTTTATTCCTCTGAATTATTGAGTAGTTATTTCTTATAAACAAGGACAGTCTTTAACATAATCACAACAAAACCACCAAATCCAGAATTAACATTGATACATTACTATTTAATTATCAGACACCATTAAAATGTTTCCAAATGTCACAATATTGTCTTCATATCAAATGAATTTACTTCAGAATCAAATCATTCCTCTAGTCAAAATGTCTCTTCAGTCTCTATATTAACAGGGCTATTTCCTAAACTTTTTCTCAATTTTATTACCAGGGCTATTTTCTAAAATTGTTCCCTGGTATTTTTCATATTATATGGGAGTTGTTTTGTAGAATTTCACTCAACATGAATTTATTTGCTGTTTCCTTATAATTAGATTCAGGTTATGCATCTTTCGTAGGAACACAGAAACAATAATGTGTTATTTTCATTGCGTCCTATCAGGTAGTGCACAATTTTATTTTACCCTATTAAATATGATGTTCATTTTAATCACTCGGTTAAGGTGACTTTTGGCCAGGGTAATCCACCATAAAGTTTTTCCTTCTCTATCATAATCAATCAGCATTTTGTGGAGTGGAATTTTGAAACTATGTAAATGTTCATTCTTCATTAATCCTTCAATTTATTTGTTTAATAAATTATTTAAGAACATATTCATGGTACTCTACCTTATGGCAAGGATTGTAATCCATTACTACTGTTATTTATTTTGATATTAATTATTTCCCATGTTTTACGAGTTGGAATCCTTTTAATGACCTCTGTTCCTGCTAATATGCTCCCTGCCTTGTTTACATAATTCTTTGCTTTCTGGCAATACAAGGGTTTTCAGAAACTTCTTATAATTTCTTGCTTCTGCTCCAGAGTCATTAGGCTCTTCAGGGCAGCCCTAGTTCCTTTAGTAGAGAAAGTTATTTAGGAGCCAAATTATGTGCATGCACATGTACACACATACATGTATATTTACATGCTAATTTATATTTGTATCTATTTTTGTATCTACCTTTATGTATTGCAAATAATGTATTCCAATATACCTACAGAGAGTTTATTAGTTTCTTCTTCTACATATTTGAAACTCTTCCAACAGAAGGAAATCAGTCTGTCATTATTTTTGATATAATTATGTATATAATCAAATTATTTGAAATTAACCTATCTCATTAGTATTGTATGTTCTCATCCTCTGCAAGGATGTTTTCACCACCCTTGGACTTTGACCATCCATACCAACAGTTCCCTATATATGGACACTGTCTTTTGGCTCTGAAAGCCTGCACCTAGATACCTGACATGGTTTGACTCTGTGTCCCGACCCAAATCTCATGAATTGTATTCCCCACATGTCAGAGGAAGGACCTCGTGGGAGGTGATTGGACTATGAAGGCAGATTTTCCCCATGCTATTCTTGTGATGGTGAGTTCTCATGAGATGTGATGGTTTAAAAGTGTGGCACTTTCCTCCTCACTCTCTCTCTCCTGCCACCATGTAAGAAGCGCCTTCCTTCTCATTTGCCTTCCAACATGACTGTAAGTTTCCTGAGGCATCATCCCCAGCCATGAGAAACTGTGAGTCAATTAAGCCTCTTTTTCTTAATAAATTACCCAGTCTCAGGTCTCTTTTTTTTTTTTTTTTTTGAGACAGAGTATTGCTCTGTCACCCCAGGTGGAGTGCAGTTGTGTGATCTCAGCTCACTGCAACCTCCGCCTCCCAGGTTCAGGCAATTCTCCTGCCTCAGCTTCCTGAGTAGCTGGGATTACGGGCACCCGCCACCACACCCAGCTACTTTTTTTGTATTTTTAGTAGAGATGGGGTTTCACCACATTGGCCAGGCTGATCTAAAACTCCTGGCCTCAAGTGATCCCCCACTTCAGCCTCCTAGAGTGCTGGCATTACAGGTGTGAGCCATCACACTTGGCCTTTAGGTAGTTATTTACAGCAGTATGAAAACGAACTAATACAATCCCTTTCTCATCTCATTCTGGCTCTAATTCCCATACTAGGCCAACTACATGAGTGCTTTTGCTCCACATCCTGCCCAGGCTCTGACACCTCAAGTGGGTTTCCCTCCCATGTACATGGCTGCTCACCCCATTTGTTCTCTGATTCCTCACACTGGGCAGCCCTTCCATATAGATGCATTCCTTACCTTGCTGGGGTTCTGAGACTCCGGATTAGGATAATGGCATTTCCCCTGCCTACCACCAGATGTGGACCTATCACGTCTTAATGGTTTTAAGACTCTAATTTTCAGAAAGAGGAAGAAAAAAAACAATCCCAAAGTAAGTAAATTCTAGTATACGAATAGGAAATTATGTGTTGATATATATTAAAGCATGCTGATTGATAAATCAGTATATTTTCCAACATATTTGTATTTTGTCAGAGGAAAAAAGTCTTTGTACAAAGATATAAATATAAAATATTGAATTTTAAGAATTGGAAAAATGAAAAAATAATTTTCTCCCTCATTTATAAATTTATTCTGAAGAGAGAGTTGTTAAGGGTTGACATTAATGACCTTCAGATTTCCTTAACGTTGAATCCGTAAGGTGGCTATCTATTCTGCTTACATAAAATATAGTTATAAATAGAAGCCACACTTCTAGACTAAGGAGTTTGTTGATATAAGAATTACATATACACAGGAAGTGAAATACAGTTTTAAGCTACATGAATCTACAGGATTTTAGAAACTATCCTGAACTAATACTCATGGACTATTTCCATATGGGCAACATTCTAAACAATCACATGTAATAACTTATTTAATCTTTGTGACAACACTGTGACACAATTTTTCTCTCATTATACAAGTGAGGAAATTGAGGCTCAGATGTTATTAAAATTGCTCTCGAAACATACACAAACTACTGGGTGGCAAGGCTGGGATCCAAACCTAAGCACTTGCATTGGTAACCACTGTGCAATGTTGGTTTGAATAATTTAGCAAACATAGTGATTATTCTGTCCTGGATCAGAAACTTCTCTGATATCCCAGCAACTTTTTATATTAAAAAAGCAAGTCCCAAAAGTGTACTAGAATTGCCATATATGGTAGTTTTTGTTATCAATCTTTAGCGTTTTCTCCTTTGAATCATCAGAGGCACACTTATCTGTGAACAGAGAAAACAGACCTTTACTCTTATCTGTCCTTTTAAGGCAATAAATGAGATAAGATTCCTTTTCAGTGGTGCAGCTTGCTTATGTCTGACTTTTCTTATTTTTTTATAGAATAAGTTAAAACTTGGCATCTTTTATTTCACTGAAGATATAGCTAATTCTTCTCCTTTTCGCTCCTGCAGAGAGGTGTGTTAACAGCAATGTGTCATCCTAAACAAACTGTTTATAAGCAATTACTTCCCAAAGTTCTTAGTTTAAATTATTTTGGGACATTTGTATTCTCCAAACATTTTGATTTTTGAGTTAACAAAATTTTCTGATCTCAATAAGGAAAAATGTTTAGCATTAAAAGTATAAGACAGATTAATAACTAGTGTGTTCATTGTACCTTTTTTCTTTTAAATGCTCTCAACAATCCCATATATATTAAGCTGTATTTCAGTAGAACATGCATGTAAAGTACAATAATGTATGTCTATTTTAACGTTATAATAGTTTTCTTCCTTGTACTATTCTTGAAAATTTTTTAGTATGTCATCTATCTTTCTTAAATGTAATGCCTGGCATCATCACCAAAGTGCATTATGAATCACCAATTCTGCACACTAATAAGCTGTGCAGTTTCAGTGTTTAAGATAAGAAAGTGTGATAACATCTCTTGAAATAACAATATGCCTCTTTCTATAGTGCACCTTGTCAGAGTCTCTCAAAGCAATTAAAAATAAATGGGAAAATACTGTTCTCAGGAAAATTTGTTTCATGGTTAGAAACAGATAAATCCATGTCACAGCTGAAAATATTGGCGACAGAATCAGATAAGTGAATTCCAAAAAATCCACATTTTGCCAAGAATAGTCCATGATTTCTATGGACTGGTACATGTTCTAATCACTAATAATGTTTCCTTCCTTTTCTGTATAATTAAGTCCCTGAATTGACGTTTTTATAAACCATTTTACAGTGCAGAACAAATGTAAGATTATTAGTCAGTGTAGTATATTAAACTGAATATTAGACTATAGTTTGGGAAAATGAAGTTCTAGTCCTGTCTCTAAAATTTTTTAGTCATATAATTATAAGCAAACATTTTGCATTTTAAAATCTTGATTTGAAATAATAACTAATTTAATGGTCTGACTGCCAGTCATTGCTAAAGAGTTTTTGGAAAACAAAAGAAACAAAAAGAATACAGATTGAAACTACAGAGTATTGCACATGCAATTTTTTATGATGATTAATATGATAATGATGTTGAAGAGAGCAATATTATTTCTGAAATAACTGATTAATTATCTTCAAGAAACAATCATTGAAGATCTTTTTTAGAGTTCATTAAAGGTACAATGAGCAATCTTGTGTAGCCTTTTGTCAAATATATGATGACCTATTCTTCCTGGAACTCCATAAAATATTGAAAACAAATGTCACCCTTATCCTTTTGATAGTATAAAATAAAAACATTTTAGAATGAATTGCATTATCTTAGACACTTAATAAGATTTCTAAGAATAGTTTGTTGTTGAAAAAAAGTAAAAAGTCAGTTATTTCAGTGCATATAACTTTGAATAATTTAATAATTAATTTTACATAATTTCCCTAAATTGGGCTCAGAATTACTGGGAGTGGAACCATTCATATAAATGCAGTACATGACAGCCAACAATATCAGCATGTCTTTTAAGGTATTGCTATGGTTATTGTAAGTACAATTTTCAAAACCTAACTACGGTAGACCTGTCTCAGTTCCAAAAACAGTTTGACATTTATTGAGACAAATTAAAACCAAAACAACAAAGAAGACAGGTCAGTTTGGTCCAGAAACAATGAAAATAGCCAAATATTTAAAGGTTTAATAATAAATAATAATTATATATATTAAAATATAAATAATAATTATGTATATTAAAATAGTTAAGATGTCACATATCATTTCAGTAAAATTGTGTCACATGTGGTAAAAATGAAAGATTGGTAGCAACAAAGAGTTTTCTTTGACCATCATAATTAACATTTCTTTGAAAATGTACTGAGAGAATAAAGTCATCAAAAGTAGAATGATGTCAGTGACATCCCTACTTTTAAGTAAGAAATTCAAAAAGCCAGTCTGTACATAAAAACATATTAAAAACTGGAAAAATAACTATCAGAATCAACATTATTAGAACTCTGAAAACTAACTGAAAGCTTGCCACAACCTGGGGAGCTTTTACTCAGGAGAAAAAAAAAAAAGCAAATTTTATGGTGTTTAACCATGCTCTGTTCCCCAGCTCAGGGATGGCTTGAGAAATCACAGGCCTCATCATTCCAAGTATTGGTAGAGAAAGGAAAAGAATGGAACTTATGCATTAATTATATGTTGGTCTAGTGGATCTCTGGAAGACCTGCTTAGAAGACTTGTCTTTATCTCAACTGACTGAAATTTGCCTTTTACTAAAGCTGCTAGGCAGAGATGTTTATTGAAGACATTTATAAACAAACATTTTAGACACTGCTGCTGAGGAATTGGTTAATAATTGGGGCAAATACTAAACTATGTCAAAAGCTTGAAAGTAAAGACTGGATAGTGAGTTGCTTAGAATAAGGGCTCTGAAAAGCTTTGACATATTACTGGAAAACAAGAAAGATACACAAGTCCATAGCTCTGCCCATGCTTCAGAAAGGCTTGAAAATTCCTCACCTCTCACATCTGTCTGATCTGGAAACTCTGCAGAAAAAGAAAGTTAAGGCTAAGGTAAACTTTTAAACTTCTTAACTGAGTTTTGAAAGTGTGCCATAACACACACAGAACATTTCTGCAAAGACTGGAAGACAGTTTGGTTCCAAGCATTTAATAAAATTATTCAATCATTACACATTAAGCTAACAAAATTGTCAATTCAGTGAACACAAATGCCAAAAAAATACATAATTTACAAAATCAAATCAGAGAAGTTATTAAACAAACAAACGTGTGTAGGGACATGAATGAAATTGGAAATCATTCTCAGTAAACTATCGCAAGAACATCAAAAATGAAAAGCAGCAAGAACACTCTACAGAGAAGAAAAAACCTGATATCCAGATTTCGCACATCATAACGTTCAAACTGTTCCAAATTCAACAATATGTATGAGATCTGCAAAGAAACAAGAAAGTATGGCCCACACACAAAAAAGTGATCAAAACTAATTTAATAACCAGACAATTAATTTACTAGACAAATACTTTAAATAATTCCAATATGTTCAAAGATCTAAAAGAAATCTTATCTAAATTACTAAAGAAAAACGTTAAAATGTATCACCAAATACAGAATAATAATAAAGGAATATAAACTTTTAAAAGGAGTCAAACAGAAATTGTGGAGTCGAAAAGTACAACTAAAATAAAAAAAAATATTTTAGAGGGGCTACACATCAGATCTCCACATACAGAAGGAAGACTCATTCAAGTTGATCAATTGAGATTTTCAATTTGAGAAAAATAGAGAAAAAAATGATGAGAAGATAAAGAACAAATCCTCAAAGACCTATGAGACTCCATCAAGCACACTATTATGTGCACAATAGGAGTTTCAGAAGGTGTGGAAAAAGGGCAGAAACAAATATTTAAAGACATAATGGGAGAAAACCCAAATTTGATAAAAAATACTAATCTTCACATCCAAGATTCTCAACCAGCTCCAAGTAGAATAAACTAACAGAGAGCCATGCCTATACATATTATAATCAAACTGATAAAAGCAGAAACACAAATAGGAACTTGAAAGCAGCAAGAAAGTAGTGACTCCTCACATACAAGGGATTAATACATATAGTAAGATTAACATCTGATTGTGCATAATAAATTATGGAGGCCAGAAATCAATGGTATGCCATATTTAAACTGCAGAAAGAAAAGAAAAATCTGTGAAACATAAATTTTATATTTGTCAAAATGATCTTTCAGAAATAAAGAATAAATTAATACATTCTCAGATTAAAAAAATAAAAACAAAACTGAGTTTGTTGTTAACATAGCTGCAGTGTAAAAAAATGCTAAAGTCCTTCAGGGTAAATTTAGAGAAAACTAAACAATAACTTGAAACCATGTGAAGGGTAAAGATAACTACATAGGTAAAAATAAAGAGCAGTATTAATTTTTTGTTTCTATCTCTTCTTGTTTTCTACATATTATTTTCTATTTGCATAACATAATATTTATAAATATGTGTTAATGGGCACACAATTTATAAAAATGTAATTTGTCATAATAATAGAATGAACAGGAGTAAAATTATATAAAAGATAAAATTTGTAAATTATTAAAATTAAGTGGCTAGTACTCCAAATTATATTATTAATTAAATAGTTTATGATAATCTCCAGGACAATATTTAAGAAACTAACTCAAAATACATAGTACAAGGAATGACACAAGAATAAAAAGAGTACCTTGGAAAATAACTACCTAACATAAAATAAGGCAGTAATGGAGAAATTGGGGAACAAGAAAAAGACAGAGGCCACATAAGAAACAAAAGCTAAATGGCAAAAGTAAGTCCATTTTTGTAACTTAATGGAATAGATATAAATGAAGTAAGGGCTCCAGGGAAGAGGTAAGGATTGACAGAATACATTTTTAGGAGCATCCAACTGTATGCTATCTGCAAGAGAGTCAATTAATATTTAAAGACACAAAGATGTTGAAAAAAATAATAAAATACATATTTCTTACAAACATTAACCAAAAGAGAGCTTGAGTGTCAATACTAATATTAGACACAATAAGCTTTAGGACAAAAATTGTCATGAGAGAGAACAATATATTATATAAAAACAAAGAATTCAATCTAACAAGAAGATACAACAAGTACTTTTCAATGTACTTACCAACAGAGACCACAAATACATAAATCAGAAAATGAGAGAATTAAAGACAAAAATAGATTTCAAAAATAATAATTGGATATTGTAACAACCTACTTAAAATATTGGATACAATTGGAGAGAAAATTTCCAGAAATTTTAAGTTTTGAACAATACTGAAAACCAAATGCAACCAACAGACGTCTCAACCCAACAAGAATAGAATGCACATAATTTTCAAGTGCATATGCAAAAGAAATCCATGTGCACTTGAGAATCATGTGCATTCTATTCTTGTTGAATTGAATTCTATTAGAATTCTAATGGAATTCTATTCCTGTTGACCATGTCAATCTATTGGACACAAAACAAGTATAAATAAGTTTGGAAAGTCTGAATCTTTCAAATTATGTGCTTTGATCACAATGGAGTGAAATTAGAAATAAATTAAAACAGAATGTGGGGAAAATTAACAAACATTTCAAAGATAGATGACACACTTCTAAATAAATGATCAAAGATAAGCCATAAGTGAAATTAAAAAAATATTTTGAAATTAAGGAAAACAAAATAATGACATGCAAAAACTTATGGATGTGGTGAAAGCAGCATTCAGAGGAAAATTTACATCTATAAACCATCTATAAAAAAGAGAAAAATCTCAAGTAAGTTATCTAACATTCCACTCTAAGAATCACAAAAAAGAAGATAAAATTAAATCTAATGCAAGAAATGCAAAGAAAATAATAAAGGCTGGAATTAAACATAATAGGGAACAGAAAAACAACAGAGAAAAATCAATAAAAATAAATGTTGACCCTGTGAAAATATCAAGAAAACTGGCAATCCTTTAGCTAGACTTACCAATAAAAGAAAAAGGCTCAAATTACTAAAATAGAATAAAAGTATGTACATTATATTGAAATTTAAAAAAAATATAGATAATACTATGATAACTGTATACCACCAAATATGATAACATAGATGAAATGGATAAATTTCTAGAAACACTCAAACTATCAGAACATTATCAAGAGGAAAAAGAAACGTGAATAGGCATACAATAAGAAAAGCAGTGGAGTCAGTAATCAAAACACTTCCAACAATGAAAAGCCCAGAACCAGATAGACTCATGCGTGAATTCTACCAAGCATTTAATGAAAACTTAACACCAATTCTTCTCGAACTCTTTTAAAAAACAGAAGAGGAGGAGACATTTCCTAACGGATTCTGGGAGAACAGTGTTACCTTGACACTAAAGTTAAAGATACTACCAGAAAATAAAACAAGAGTTCAGTATCCCTTTTGAAGATAGAGGCAATATTCTTTATGTATATATATACTTTAAGTTCTGGGGCACATGTGAAGAACGTGCAGGTTTGTTACATAGGTATACATGTGCCATGTTGGTTTGCTGCACCCATCAACTCGTCATTTACATTAGATATTTCTCCTAATGCTATCCCTGCCACAGTCCCCCAACCCCCGACAGGCCCCGGTGTGTGATGTTCCCCTCCCTGTGTCCATGTGTTCTCATTGTTCAACTCCCACTTATGAGAGAGAACATGCAGTGCTTGGTTTTCTCTTCTTGTGTTACTTTGCTGAGAATGATGCTTTCCAGTTTAATCCATGACCCTGCAAAGGACATTAACTCATCCTTTTTCACGGCTGCATAGTATTCCATGGTGTATATGTGCCACATTCTCTTTAGAAGACAGAGGCAATATTCGATACTTAACAATCCAAAATCAGCAGCATATGAAATATATTACACACATGATTAAGTAGGATTTATCCCAATAATGTAAAGTTGATTTAACATACAAAAATCAAACTATATAATAAACAATACTAGATTAAAGGAAAATAAACACATGGTCATAGCAATAGAAAAATCATTTGTCAAAATCCAGCATACTTCCATGATAAAAATACTCAAAAAACTAGGAAAGAAAGGAAAGTCCTCAAGCTAACAAAGCACATCTGTTAGAAAAAAAAAAAAAAAAAGAAAAAACTAACATTATATTCAATGATGAAAGTCTGAAGGTTTTTCCCTTAAAATCAGGAACAAGATGAGATGAGAGGATGTCTCCTCTCACCACTTCTATTCAATATTGTAGTGGTAGTTCTATTCAGGACAAAAAGGCAAGAAAATAAAATAAAAGGGATGCAAATGTTTATATATTAAAAAATCCACCTCGAAACTGAGTTCAACAAAGTTGCTGAATAAATGATAAATATAAAAAAGTAATTGCACTTATACATACTAGCCTGAGCAATCTGAAAATGACATTAAGAAAATTATTCTATTCACAATAATATTAAAATAATAAAATACTTACAAGTAAATTTAATCAAAGAGGTGAAAGAGTTGTACATTAAAAATTGCAAAACGTTGTTGAACAAAATTAAAGAAACCCTAAGTAAATGGAAAGACATTCCATGTTTATGAATAGGAGTACAAAATGTTCTTTAGATTGTAATACTCTCCAAATTAATCTACAAATTCAATGTAATCTCCATCAAAATTTCAATTGCCTATTTTTGTAAAATTAACAAGCTGATTCTAAAATTCACGTGAAAATAGAGACTCCAAATAACCAAAACAATCTTGAAAAATAACAAAGTAGAAGGAATTGCACTTCCCAATTTCACTGGTAAGATACAATAATCAAAATAGTGTGATACTTGCATTTTTTTTTTTTTTTTTTTTTTTTTTTGAGACGGAGTCTCGTTCTGTCGCCCAGGCGGGAGTGCTGTGGCGCGATCTCCGCTCACTGCAAGCTCCGCCTTCCGGGTTCACGCCATTCTCCTGCCTCAGCCTCCCGAGTAGCTGGGACTACAGGCGCCCGCCACTGCGCCCGGCTAATTTTTTGTATTTTTAGTAGAGACGGGGTTTCACCGTGGTCTCGATCTCCTGACCTCGTGATCCGCCCGCCTCGGCCTCCCAAAGTGCTGGGATTACAGGCGTGAGCCACCGCGCCCGGCCGATACTTGCATTTTGATAGACATAGATCAATTAAATAGAATTGAAAGTACAGAAATAAAAACATACATCTATGGATATATAAAGTTACAATGCTTATTTTGGTGGCCCTCTTCATGCAGCTTCTCGTTTTCAGTATTCTTCTCAAAGGCACCTAAATGACTTGTCCTGCTCCTTAAGCTTTGCTTTCAGCACTGCCAAAAAATGCCAAAACAATTAAATGGGGAAGTAATTGTCTTCCAACATATAGTGCTGGGATAACTGGATTTTCATATGTAAAACAGTTGCATTTAGACCCTATCCAACATCATACACACACTCACACACACACAAAGTAACTCAGAATTGATCAAAGACATAATTGTAAGGAATAAAACTACAAAACTTAAAAAAAGAACATTAGTGTAAATCTTTTGTGACCTTAGATTGCTCAATGATTTCTTAAATATGACATTCTAGGGCATAATGAACAAAAGACAGATAGATATATTGGACTTTCACAAAATTAAAAAAACACTTTTTGCATCAAAAGATATTATCAAAAAAATTAAAAGGCCAACCACAAAATATCTGTAAATTACATATCCACCGTCTATCATATAGATATATAAAGAACTCTTCCAATTCAATAATAACATAGACAAATAATCCAATTGAATAACAGGCAAAAGATTTGAACAGACATTTCTCCAAAGAAGATATACAAATAACCAATAAAGAATGTGAAATGAAAGAAAATGAATTCCTCATACATTGCTAATGAAAATGTAACATGTCAGATCTATTTTGAGATATCTAGCAATTCTCCAAAAAGTTAAACAAATGAACATATTACTCAGCAATTTCACTCTTAGGTACTTACACACACACACACACACACACACACGCAAAATGTAGTAGAAATTCTCCTTGCAGCACTATTCATAGTGGCCAAAAAGTGAAAACAAAAACAATACAAATGTCTATCAACCAATGAACAGATAAAATACATGCCATGTATCCATATAATGAAATATTATTGTCACATAAGACAAATAAATATTTATATATTCCACAGCACTGATGAAGCTTGAAAACATTATGCTGAATGAAAGAATCTAGACACAAAAGACTGCCTATTGTCTGATTCCATTTATACGAAATATCCAGAGTAGGCAAATCCATAGAGACAGGAGGTTCATTAATGGTTGATGAGAGATGGAGGTGGGGAAAACTGGAAGTGACTTTTAGTAGATATGTGGTTTCTTTCTGTGCTGATAAAACTATTTTGAAATTCTGTTAGTGGGGATGGTTGAAAACCATTCTGAACACACTACAAATACTGACTTGTTAACTTAAATGGTTAAGATCGTGATTTTTATGTTATTAATTTCATTTAGATAAAAAAGTACTGAAGAAAGTTTATAATATAAAAAATAGGTTATTTTTTTAAATGGTTAGGATATGAAAAAATAGCATAATATAAGCTACTAACTTAAATGAATTTCTTCCAACGGAGCTTACATTCTCTATCTATGGAGAGTGATATAGAGATAATCATACACACAGACACACACACATGCTTAATTTCTGAGTATCTTAATAAAGTATACTAAGAAAATGTGTGTGTGATAATAATTTTCTATTTTCTGCATTTAAGCTGTGCATATCCAATACATGTTTGTGTCTATAGCAGATATTTAAAATTACATACAAAATAACTATCAAAGATCAAGCTTCATCCTATCTCTACTTCTCAAGGTATAGTTCCTTGCTTTTTTTTTTCTTTTCCTCCTGCAACCTACCTTCTTCTAATGTAATGATTTTATCTCCATCATTATTCAAATGTGTGTTAGTACTTTCTGTATTTAAGAAAAGTGCTTGTTGTTTTTCTCCAATGATTCAAATACTACAATTTCATCTATTTTTATTAACAGGTGATTTTCTTGAAAATATTCATATATGCTATCGATTCATTCATGAGTTGAAATTCTGTTCTTTCCAATATATCAAGACTTTTTTGCTAATTTTGCCATTGATTTTCACATTGCCAATGTAATCTCCACATTGATCTTTACAATGCTCAATTTTTAGTTTTGTTTTACTAGATCTCTCAGCACCATTCTGTACAACACATGACCTTTTTCTTATAATAATTTCATCCTCTGATTTAATGACAACACACACTTTTAATTTCTTACTGTTTCTCTGGCTACTTGAACTTCGTTAACCTATTTCCTTAACTATACTATAATAACAGAAGTTATTCAGAGTTGTATCTTGAATTTTCTCTATTCTTACTCTACATATACTTTCTCATTTAGAGAAGTCACCCATTCAAATGGCTTTAAGTAACGTTTCTATTTTAGAATATTTAAATTTAGTAATCTAATATTGATACTTCTTCAGAGATCCAGATTGTATATCCTAATGCCTCCTTAACATTCATTTGACTGTCTTTCAGCTATCTTAACAACAAAAAGCTCCAAACTGAACATTCTCCTTTTGAAACCAAATAAGCATATTCATTAGTTAAGTAATTTAAGGCAACAACCTATGTTTTACCCATAATATCTTCCTCTCTGCCTTATTATACCTTTTTATCTTAATTATAAAAAATCAAATTTTGCTTATAAAATATTTCTCAAGCTTATCCATTTGTCTCTTTTTTTCAGTACCTATACAACTCATAATTAAAGGTCATTTTTTAACGAGAGAATTGCTGTAATCTCTTCATTAAGGTTACACTTGTTTTCCTTCCTGTAATAAGCTTTGCTATGAATACAAAGATTTCTTTCTCAAACAACAACAATGACAATTTTTTTTTACCAATTACTACTGGGTTTCCACATATATTTGAATCTAAGACAACTATTCTCCAGGCATAACACTCTACTCTCAAGTTTCTTTATGACATCAAGTATTTTTATTCCACAGGGCATTTTTACCCTAAAAACCCTTCCATCCAATTTTTTCCTGGTGCACTGTTATTCAGATCACTAATGAAAAGCCATTTCTGACATTTTCATGTCAACTAGAACCTTCGTAATTTATTTTTAAAACAAAATTCTTTTCTCCCGTAATTGCTACTAGAAGGCATAATCATTTATTTGTGAGACTATTACTTAATATAGTTCTCCTTTATCAGACTCTAACCTCCATTTTGGTAGATCCTGTGAATATTGTGTTCCAGAATATGTTAATTACTTTAGTGAGAAAAGGAATCAACTGTAGGATGAAGAAGAGAAAAATTGACATTTAAGTTAAAGCAAAGAGATGTTTGAATGTGCCATCAACTAAGTGGTATAATTGACAAAGACCTCTGTTTTCCTGTAGCATCCCTAGAAATAATTTTCAGGTCTGAAAGATCCCCTGTGTAGAAATTATTATATTTATAGTTCATAGTGTATCAGCATCAGGTAGCTGTAGATATAATAATGTAATTATAATCACCATTTTTTTCTCAAATACAGAATTATATTTTCATTTTGGACAGCATGTTAGACCTTTATTTTGTATGATTCTTCTTTTTCACGTAAAAGTTATCAACCTTAATGTAAATCAGTAATGTAAGTAAAGTTCATGTTATTTCTTTAAAAAAATAAATTCAACATGATTTTTTAGCCTTTCCAAAGTTAACCCAGAAATCCTGTCAAAAATTTCAACTATGCAGATACTAAGGACACACAATGTGTGATATATGATGTGGGCAAAAGTGTTTTGTTTTACTTATGTAAAGCTGAAAATTACTTTTAGCCAACTATTCATATTAAAAAGGTATTTAAGCTTTGCTTACCATTCTAAGAATTTTAAAACTTTTTTTAAAAAGTGTTTTCAACACATAAGACAATTTTTCATCTTAAATAACTGTCCTAGGCCAAATAGGATTTATTTATATAAAGATTGGCTCAGCAGATTTAACGGTTTATAAATTGCTTTTAATTAATGTTATTTGCAACATGAAAATTGACTAACAACATTGTATAGCAAAGCTACTAAAGCTATAAGTCAGCTCAATATGAATGAAAATTTAGGTTAAGACAATTTTATATAACACTTTTAATTTTATTGTTGACTATGATCAGGCTCAAAAAACACTAAGCATTTATGAAACTATTACCACATATTTTGCTACCTTGATTTCAGGTATAAGACCATACATGCATAAAACTACTGATTTTGAAAAGACTACACATTGGGTGAAGTGTACACTGCTCAGATGATGGATACACCAAAATCTCAGAAATCACCTCTAAATAACGTATTCAGGTAACCAAACACCACCTGTTCCCCCAAAAACCTATTGAAATAAAAAAAAAAGAACAATGAAAATACTGGTTTTAAAAGTAAAATTAAACAACTAAATTTATGACTTTATTGTAAAACCTGTTCTTAATGTTTTCTATATTTAAATGTGGAACAAACTTAAGAAAAAGATTTTGTTTGCATAAATGGACATACTTGTATTTTCTTTTCTGGTGAGAATACTTAACCGAGTGTCTTATATTTTATCTGATCACTCTACATCTTCTTAAAATTATCAGTCTCCAACTAACAAAGTTCTTTCTTTTCCCTCCAAGTTAAGTTGTCAGGCTTTGCAAAAGTTTCATTGAAAGGATCCATTACCAGCCAAACCGTGGTTTTGAAAGAGAGGAAAAAATATGGTAATTTTAATAAAATTTGAGTCTTGGTGATATCGCTTCTCACTTAAGCCAAAGAAGCAATAAAACAACATTTTAAAATTTCCTTTTACCACATAATTTTTTCCAAAGAGTTATTTTCCTTTTAAATCCCGAAATTATCTCACCGGAAGTAAAAAACGTTCTCCAGAGCTTTTTTCAGAGTCAAGTAGTTCATGTGACTATAAAAATAGACTAAGCAGGCTAGTTTGGGCACTCAGTTTTTATCTTCAAATAACTCAGCTAAATATGGCCTACGACTACTTGAAAGTACTCTCAGAACTCACCTCCAACTCAAACTCCTGGCTGAAAATATTTCTACTATATTGCCAAATTTCTGTGTGTAACAGGTCTATATGCTCTTTGACCACGTTTTCACGAAGTTAAAAAATAAATAAATAAAATACACATTCTTGAGTTAGCTCGTCTTTGTTTAATGAAGTTATCCATAGCATCATTCAGAATTTTATTTTTTTATTTATAAAATTAAAAAACTCCAAGAATTTTGACATTAGCTCTTCTCTGTGAAGAAAGTAGCTTGTTTTGATGTCAACTTCCTTTTTCTTTTTTGCTTGCTTGCTTGCTTTCTTGCATTTTCATAAGAGAATTAAAACTTTCTTTGAGTCAATCATTGATGAGGCCACATTAGTACAAATTCTGACACATTTCCTTCAAGATATATCTTTTGTTTCCAGATATAAAGAAAAAATATTAAATGAGCCTCAGATTGTTAGTTTGGGATAACCTGATGCTCTAGAAAAAATTTTCTAAATTTTCTGACATTTACAAATGCTATATCATAATATTTATTGGTAAAAGGTATTGATTCAGCCACCTAAAGAAGTTATTGTGTATTTTCTTAATGAAAATCTCTTCGGCCTAATGTGACATGCTATTGACGCAATGATTTATTATGCTCTTTGAGAGTGGAAAATTTTCATTTTCTTGTAGGCTTTTGCTAACTATAATATTACTTCCCCTCATTGTAAGATTCTCACCAAATCTATGATTTATCTTTGTCTGGGTAATAAGTTCTGTCAACAAACTTGCTCCTTGAGACTTTTTATTAACAATGTAGTTAAAATTTAATGAGATTTCAATATTCACATGAAATAATACATTTACTTCTCAAATGACTATGATTTTAGGTATATTTTTAATTTTACACAATAGAAGAGTACCAGCTCCTATGAAATTCACTAAAAACTAGCTTCATTGTAAAGACATATTTGTGTTTGTGTGTTTGTGTGTTCCTTTTTATTTTAGAGAAATGACTATATCGTCTTTCCTCATAAACCTCATCAGAATTGTCTGTAGGCCCTAGGCCTGGAGTCTTCCTTTCCTAAAACATAACTAATTTGCAAAAATTACCACACTGGAACTTCAGATGTCTTTGTAAAACATAAACTAAAATCTAATATAAAAACAGAAGGACATTATATAAAACTAAATTATTAAATCCCATTGTATATGAAAGTTTAACCATGTAATTCATATCTAACTATATAATTTATGCTTTGCACCATTCACAACAGTAAGATGCTATGGGAAGCTGAATCAAGGAATGTAAAAAAAAATTCTCTTTAAGAATGAAAACATCTTTTGATGTTCTCTTACAGCAGCAGTTTGTTCTCTCTTGGTAGTCAGTTGGTGGCAGTTAATTCAGGAGAGAGAGGATGGCATCACCAGCTAATGGTTCTTCTTTCTGTAGAAGAGTTTACCTTCAGCTGTTGCCTATGTTTTAAGTCAAAACCTGAGAATTGACTAAATCAAATGGACATGATCCTACTTAGTGTGCACTGCCATGGAAAACCAAAAGATTTGTATCAAAATTGCTAACATGCCTGCACAGTAGAGGTTCATAAGGGCAAGCCCTAGCATTTTGCAGTATGCAAAAAATCAAAAAATGTATATTTTTTCAGTCATGTTCATTCACAAAATCTCTAACTATAACTCATACCATTGTGCAATATCTTTGCTAAGAAACTCTGTTTTAATTAATAGTATTTTAAGGAGATTGAATATATTAATATTAGACTGAGCAGAAATCTTTCTATTATTTTGAACTGTCTTTCAGGCTTCTCCTATAACTACATTTTACAAAGGAGAGGCCAGGCTCACTGAATATCTGTGCTTGAATAGATCATGTACTTTTCTAGGTCATGTCATTTACATAACAATTGTTCATTGACCCCAAGTTTGTAACATTTGTAGGTAAGCCCTTCAAATCTCAATTGTTCAAGGAATCCACTTATAAAATTTTGTCTCCTTTCTTTGGTATCATATTTTTCTCTCAATGTTTATTGCTAATGGCATTGTGAATATGTTCATTATCTACCATCTAAAAATTAATAATAGTTATCTAAAAAGTATAATTTCAGTGATAAGATAAAGAAAATTAATTATGACTGAGGAAGTATAGTTATAAAATATGAAATCTTTGTTTTCAGAAGGAAAAGATTTGGAAAGTAGGTATGGTTACATTCAGGGTCAGGTTGAATGCACAGTTAGTAGAATTAACCTCATCTTCAGTTCCTCTACTCTATTCTTAAGTAAATAAATAACTTTGCTTCTTAATTATTTTTCTCTCTTGAATTATGATTTTCTATCTGTATTATATCAGCCATTTTATATAAAAATCTGAATTAAGAGTGAATACACTAAAGTTCCTTTCATATCATTTACCTCATTTTTTTACTTACCAGCAGATTTTCTCAAAAAGAAAAAAAGTCATCTGTCTTATTTATCTTCAAATAGTATCTCATGTTCTCTTCTCCAGGTTCTCCAACTAGTCTTTCCTTCTCATAATGCCACTGAAAATTCTCATAGCAAGCTCACCAATGCCTATGGCTTATTTCCAATTTTCATCTACTGAATCTCTTAGTACTCTTGGTATTATTTAATTGTCATATTTATTATTTGTATCTACGTTTTCTTCCTACAATGGCTCATATTTCCTATGAATTAATATGTCATTTTCATTCATATTAACCACAGAATCTCTCTTTTTATGATAGATATTGACTAGTATGCCAGACTCATAAACAACAGCCACCCTGAGATGTCCATTTGGCTGTCTAAAAGGCATATCCAATTTAATGTGATGTAAACAGAATCACTGAATTTCTACATCCAACTCCCAAATTTGCTTTCACTTAATTCTTCCACATTTTAATTAGTAAATGCTAGACTCATTTACCCAATTCCCCAGGCCTAAAAATCATCCTGATTATACCCACCCCACACAAAATAAATCATATTAAATTTATCTGAAAGATCTATTGGTGCTACCTGTTAAATACACCCTAAAATATAGTGTTCTCACTACTGCCGTTGCTACCACCTGAGCTAAAGCCATCATTATCACTCCCCTGGGATATTTTCTCCCATTCTCCATATAATATACTCCCCTCTGTTCATTTTATCTTACAGTCCAATCTTTATCTCTAAAGCAAGCTTGACAGACAGTCTTAAGTACAAAATTATACCATTTATTCTTCTGATTAAAGCCCTGTAATGCCTTTTCATTGCTATACACAATTTATTCAGAACTGGAATCCCCACCTCGAGCCATATCTATCAAAGCCTAGTATGACCTTCCCCTAGATAGTCTTTGTAACTACATCTCTCCATATCCTCCCTCTCCCTCATAAAGCTGTAATTTTGCTGAACATCTTTCTTACTCACAACAAACATTAATATCCCATTCCCAACTTACATGTTTTGCTTGTTTTTTTCAGCTTGCAATATGCTTAATTTCTATACCACATATTTGTCTGGCTGAATATTCTTATATTCATATTTCAGCTCAATGTCATCCCCTCAGAAAAGTCTTCTTTGATTACTCATATTGAAAGTTTTATGATAGATCACCATCTGTCAAACAATGTGACCACCAATTTTAGCAGGAAAGTTGCTTAGCGTTAGACAAGCTTCTAGCATTCCATAATATGCTTGATAAACAACAGAAAATATGTACAAAACTGTCCTGCCTAAACAGTATTTCTCAACCTATAACAAGACTTAAACTTCCACTTTTTAAGAAATATTCTGGTAAAATGGAAGTATCCAAAATATTGTAAAACTGTTAATCACACAAATCTAGCAAGGCCATGATGAGAGAAAAAAAAAAAAGATAAATCAGAAACAAACGTCATGGATTTAAAATGGGAGGAACTAATCTTTGAATGTGGCAGTGCTCAAAGAAAAGCTACGGAGCAGTAACAATGGTGTTTGTGCTTTTGGGAAAGATACAGAATATGAGCAAATAGACGTAGAAGGCCACCAAAATGACTTTTGTAATTTCTCAAGTCTAGACCTGCCTCATCTCCGTTTCTTTTGAAAATTAAATTAACTTGCCATGTGACTAAGTGACAAAGCATTTTTTACAAAGCACTGCCAAATCTAATATTCTTACTTAGTATTGATTTTTCTCAGAAGAAAACTGACAAAGTAAATAAATTTTATCTCAAGTAAAATAAATTTAAATTTTTGGCTGAAGCAAAGTTTGCACATTTGTTACTCCACTAGAGAGTTCATGAGCTCAGCTGTACCTCCACTGTGTGTATTTAAGGCTCTTCTTTGGTTCTTAGCCTCACCTGTGACTGGCAGGCTATGAACAATAAAATAGTCCACTTTTTAATTTATGTTTATATATTTATTTATGTATGCTGAAGCGTCATTGTTAAACAGTGTTAAACAGTGTTCCTTACTTTTCTCTTGATGTTCCAAATGCCTACATTCAAGTTTTCAAGTTGCAGATCTATTCTTTTTTTTTTTTTTTTTTTTTTTTTTTTTTTTTTTTTTTTGGAGACGGAGTCTCATTCTGTCGTCCAGGCTGGAGTGCAGTGGTGCAATCTCGGCTCACTGCAACCTCCACCTCCCGAGTTCAAGCAATTCTCCTGCCTCAGCCTCTTGAGTACCTGGGACTACAGGCGTGTGCCATCACGCCCTACTAATTTTTTTGTATTATAGTAGAGACGGGGTTTCACTGTGTTGCCCAGGCTGGTCTCGAACTCCTGAGTTCAGGCAATTTGCCTGCCTCAACCTCTCAAAGTGCTAGAATTATAGTTGGGAGCCACCACGCCTGGCCTGCAGATCTATTCTAAGTGACAAGCCAACAGAACTTTAGTACCTGGTAATGTGCTATGGTAACATCAGATATCCCCTATTTGTTTGTGTTGTTTTACCTAAGGAATTTTAGAGCAAACAGAAAGCTGCTCATGAAATCACCTGTGGAGTAAGCTCCTGTACAAACAATCAGTTTTCTCATCTCACCTTTTAAAATACATGTATTAACCTGTATATCACTTTTTTTGCATTTTGGCATAGCTATTAAAAGAAAATGATCCTCCTATGGTTTACAGTATTGTAATTCTGTAGCCTCAGAACGTTAAAGAAATTATAACTTGCTAGGTATCAAAAAGAAATAAGTCATTTTACCTGATGCTGTAGCCACTGGGCTGGAATAAATGTATGAATTGTCTAATAAACAATAATGTGGTTTTCAGAAGGTTTCACTTTCACTTCACAGCATACTATTTGATCAGTGTACAGTGAATTTGAATGAATCACTACTTGTAGTGATATTAAAAAGACATATCTGTGTATATCTGTATTTATGCATGTATATGCATATATATGCAGGTGTGCATATATATATGCACACATATATGTACATATATGTATACACACATATAAATTCACACATTTATATATATATAGAAAGAGTGGATGAGTGAGATAATTTAGAGATGATGTAACACTAGTGTAGATTGATTAACAATCTCATTGTTTTTGGGGTAGTACAAGAATGACAACACACATACACACATAACCACATAAGAAAAACAAAACAAAACAAAAAAATGAGGTATATAGCACATATTGAATTTGAAGACTAATATTAAGGTGCCAATTTTCTTTAGCTAGTTTCTATTCTTGAACATAGCATTCTACTTAAAGTGTATATTAATATCTTTAGGTTAATTTTTTTAAGTTAAAGGACAGAGAAAATGCTTTTATAAATATAAATACTTATTCAGTTTTTCAGTGAGGGATGTGTGAGTCAGCATACTGCATACAAATAGAACCAATAGGATATTTATATATAACTACAATAGAGGAGAGGAGATTTATTATGAGAATTGCCTCACACAATTATTGAGGTTGAGAAGTCCCACGACCTGCCATCTGCAAGCTGGAGAACCAGCAGTGTATTTCAGTTCATGTACAACGACTTGAGAACAAGGACCTCCAGTGTCTAAGGGCAGAAGATGGATGTCCTAGCTCAAGAAGAGATAGGAAAAATTTGTCCTTCATACCCTCAAAGAATTGAATGATGCCTGCCCAAACTGGTGAGGGATCTTCTTTACTCAGTCTACATATTCAAATGCTAATCTCTTCTGGAACTACCGTCATAGACGCACCCAGACAAGTTGACACACAAAATTAACCATCACAAGGTGTAAACATCATAGTTCAAAAATTTTTTTTTAAAAAAAAGGAAGAAAAAACCAATTTTTTAATTAAGAAAGTTTTGGCTTATATTTCTCACTTTATTACACACAGTCATAAAAGTATTAATAATACCTTTCTTCTGGCTGTATATCCTGAGTTGCATTGCATTTGTGATTGTTAATGCCATATATTACATAACCTCTAGCGAACTGATGAACTATAATAATTTATTTTATTTCAATGGAAAACTCATTAAACTCAATGAAACATACATCTTTGTATAGGTTCAATTTACATTGCGTCATGCTTTTTAAGAGGTAGTGTTTTTATTATGCCTGATTCAAAGCAGTAAAAGCCAGAAAATAATCCCTGAATGTGTTATGACTCTAACTTGTGATTTTGTAATAATTTCTTAGTGTTTTCTAAAAGTTAATATATTAGCATACTGATGTAAATACTTTGAATTTTTTGATTGTACCTGCTAAGGCAATTTTTATGATTTCTAGCTTAGATTATAGAGTATAAGTATAGTACATTGAGAAGATATTAAATTCAGATTATAATCTTCTATATTTCATTGTAAGAAATGCTGTATACATACTGTCTAGAGTTCGTAAAACATTTTTATTTATTTTTATTTTTTGCTTTTCTGAATTATTCTTTAAGTTCTGGGATACATGTGCAGAATGTGCAGGCTTGTTACATAGGTATACATGTGCCATGGTGGACATTTTTATTTTCTAACTGAATGACTGGCATTTGAGTTTTCCAGCCTTACCTCATTTAGTATTTTTTCTTTCAATAATTTTTCATTAACATTTAATGTCTACCTATCATACACACAAAAATATTTGTATTAAATATCTACTTAGCATATACACAAGAATATTTATAACTGAGAAAAGAATGAAGGTAATAAATTTACTACAGTTGAGAAATCCACAGTCTAGTGTAAGCGACAAACCAGCAAGCAAGTAATTTCAGAAATATGCTCATACTACAGAAAGTTCAGAATGGTAAGGGAGTGGGAAGAAAGGTCCAACTTGTAGAGACTTGCGGAAAGCACAGTGATAAATGAACAGTTGCCCAGGAAGCCTTCATTCTTTCTCTTTTTACTTCCAGAGGTACCCAAATTTTCTCTGGCAAAACCACCTATTAATCAGTACATAGCATTTATGAATTTTGCATCATACTGATCCTACACTCATGATCATCAGTAGGGCCCTATTGCTGAAATCAGTGAGATCTCATCTATTTCACCAAAGTGGTTGGTCCAAATTTGCCCAGTCAGAACTGTCATTTACTTGAAATAAGATTTACCTCTGGAGTTCAGGACTTGTTTCAACTATGACGTTGCCAGTGTTTTCATCTTCCTTCTTCAACTAGTTGTTTCTCTTATTCCTCATGTGTAACTTTATTTCTTTCTCAATGAGTGATGCTCTCTTGCCCTGCCTAAGTCAACCATTCTTGAAATAATGCAGTCACTTATAAAACCATTGACCTTTCTCTGTTTGCATCTGTCACAGATGTAATTTTATGTAGTGTGCTTATTTTATCAATGTCACTCACCCACATAATACTACCATTTTTTTAGTCCAGGAACTATTTCTTTAGATTTTTATTGTATTCTTGTTATGTTACCCAACCCTGTGTAAGAGGTGATTGATAAATAAGTATTATATAATATTATAATTAAAGAATAGATACGTGGACATTCAGTACACCTAGTTTCCTATAGGTAGTATATAGTATGTTTTTCTGGTCCATTTATATCATTGTCCTCAATTAAGCAGATAAATATTTCTAGCTTTTAAAATAAGTGCAGGCCAAGTATTCCTACAACTTTTCTATTTTTACCTAATTTTCTTTTAAAAATATTTTATTTTAGTAAGAATGTAACATGAATTCTACTCTCAACAAATGTTTAAGTGCACAATACATATTGTTGACATACATTCTGGGCACAATGTTGTACAGCAGATCTCTAAAGCTCATCCATCTTGCTTAACTGAAACAATGCCCACAGGTTAGTAACCCCTACCTTCTCCCTGTCGTCAGGCCCTGGCAACCAGCACTTCACTCACTGATTCTGTGAATTTGACTATTTTAGATACCTTATATATGTGGAATCATGCAATATTCATCTGTGACTGGCTTATTTTATTCAGCATAATATTCTCAAGTGTCATCCATGTTGTTGAGTGTTGCATAATTTTTCTTGTTTTTAAGGCTGAATAGTATTCTGTTGTACATATAAACTAAATTTTCTTTACTTCTTCATTTTTGATGGATATTGAAGCTGTTCTCACATCTTGGCTATTGTGAACAGTGCTGCAATAAGCATAGGAGTACAGGTATCTCTTCAACATCAATTTCTTGGAAAAATAGAAGTGGAGTTGCTGGATCGTATGGAATCTCTAATTTTTATTTTGTGGGAGCCTTCATACTGTCTTACATAGCAGCAGTATTTCTTTTCGGTTTCAAAGATTGGACCAGTGACTACAAATGTCTATTTTTCAAACAAAATCCGTCAGCTGTAGCCTTTTTAATTCTTCATTCACATTTTCTAATTGAAAGACCTTCAGCCCTCCTTGGGCAAAAAGTTCATTATGCAAGAGTATATAGATAAATAGAAATGACTTTAAAACCTGCATATTTTCTAAATACAGTTTCTCATTTGAAAATCCTAAATATGGCCATACAAAGCAGTCTCTCAGTATTGCCTCTACAAGGGAGAATGAATATAATAGAAAGATGGAGTCACAGCTTACATACTTTGATTGTGTTAAGTGAGTCTCTTTCATTATCTAAATGGTAAGGTTATTTTCATCTGAAGAATCTCTGGATACTATGGAGAAACACTTAAAGACTTTCTAAAAAGTATTCTAAAATGTTTCCAAAACCTGATGGCACCAGCAAGTGGAAAAAACTTATTTCTTAAAACTTTGAAGCTATAACTAAATAGTTGAACACATTCTAAAGATCAGGTTATGGAGAATGATTCAGAGAGTTTCTTAAAAAAAGTGCTGGAAAAAATTTTCTTCATAACCATATGTCCAGAAAATAATTCTCAACTTGTAATATTTTCATAGAGGACACTCAAATATATTCTGCCTTTTCTACTAACACATATGCAAGGTATGGATTGTTAAAGCCAGATAACAGCAAGACTTAATTGTGTTATTATCCTTAGCAAACTAATGCAGGAACAGAAGAATCAATCACCTCATGTTCTCACTTATAAGTGGGAGGTAAGCGATGAGAACACATGAACAGATAAAGCGAACAACACACACTGAGGACTATCAGAAGGTGGAGGCTGGGAGGAGGGAGAGGATTAGAGTAAATAACTAATGGGTACTAGGCTTAATACCTGAGTGATGAAATAAGCTGTACAACAAACCCCCATGATAAATTAACCTATATAACAAGCCCACAAATGTGCTCCTGAACTTCAAATAAAAGTTTAAAGAATGTAAAACAATAAACTAGTGTTGGCACTGCTAGTTTTACATCAATATTTCTCCTTCTGAGTTTCGGCTAGGCAGATGGTCATCAACCCAGAATTAAACGTCTCAGGTTTTGTTGCAATGTTAAGTTTCCCTTTCCCCATTAGTATGTGAGATTCTGCAATGATGTAAGACATTTCAAAGTCACACACTTAAAGGCATAAGCATGTTCCTTATTTTGGTCATGTCTAACAGATTGGGTGACAAATGCTGCAGCCATCTTGCAGCCAAAGATGATGTATTAGTCCATTCTCATGCTGCTAATAAAGACAGACCCAAGATTGGGTAATTTATAAAGCAAAGTGGTTTAATTGACTCACAGTTCAGCACGGCAAACGGGGGCCTTCGGAAACTTACAATCACGTAGGAAGGAGAAGCAAACACATCCTTCTTCACATGGTGGCAGCAAGGAGCAGTGCCAAGCCAAAATGGGGGGAAATTCCCTTATAAACCCATGAAATCTTATGAGAACTCAATATCACGAGAGCAGCAGCATGGTGGTAACCACTGCCATGATTCAATTACCTCCAACCAGGTCCCTCCCATGACATGTGGGGATTATAGGAACTACAATTCAAGATGAGATTTGGGTGAGGACATAGCCAGACCATATCACATGATATCCACCTGCCCCCACATGTTCCGCATCTGAACTCTCCAAATACTTTTATAAGATAGAGTAATAATTTTTTCTCTATTTAAGTCATAAAGTTCTCATCTTAATTTTGTAATAATACAGCTTAGGCATTACTCTAGTAAAATTTAAAAGTTCAAATTATTTTAAAATCAGTGATATAAAGCTGATAATAAACAATTATGAATACTTTTATTTTCTATATAAGAAATATTGACAGAGTCATTTAAAGAATAATTTACTTTATCATGAGCTTTTAAAATACATTTAAAATGTTAAATATAATAATATTTTGCCATTACTTATGTTATATAGTTCTTCTGATTTCATATCAGTGCACATTGTTTTTTCCTTTATGATGATAATATGAAATTTTCACACTTAAGTTTTCTTGGAGTAAAAAGTGGGTCAACCTGAATAGCAATATTGGATGATACATTTAATCATAAAGATTACACATAGATATAGCAACAATTATAAAGGTTGCACAGAAAGTACACTGCAATCAGCATTTTTTTAGAAATGTTAATGCTTTCTAACAAGAAGCAGCTTGAAAAAATAAGACCTATATGCTTGCTATGGCTATATGACTGAATAATTTACTCAGACTCTATCTCTCAGTTTATTCTTTTGTGAATAAGAGTGATAAACGTTCCAACTCAATAAGACTGTAATGTGGATAAAATGAGATATAGTTTTGAGATTGCAAAATACAGTTCCTGGCTCATAGTGAACACTCAAGGGCATGGTGTAGAATAATGTGTTTTCATTAGCTAAATTACACATAAATGAGATTCTATCATTTATATAATAAAAGTATCTAGACAAAAACAAAATATAGCCACTATAACTGTAAAATCATCCTTCATTTGCACACTAATTACCACTAATTTATCTCAATAAACACAGTCCTCTACAATTATGTTTAGTTACAAAATAATCAAATGCAACTTTGGAGGACTTTGGAAAAATCTATAAAATTACAAAATCATGACTTGCTATTACTACTCGTGAAGAGAATAAAGTTGTGCAGAAAAATGTAAATTTTACCTAAAATTTTGTTTAAAAATGCAAAATATCGTTGTAATAAATTCAATGTAAAGGATAATGTTGGTTTTTATTGGATAATCAATATCATTCTGAATTGAATGCTGGCCTTTGAGCATATATGTTAAAGCAATGAGAATAAAAGGGCTAAAACAGGTTTTTATAATTATGGTCAACCAGAGTAAAAAGACTTTTTTTAGTAGTTCTTAGGAAATAATGAATAATCAGGTGAATTTCATTGTTAGTTTAGCTGATTTGTATTGTTAAAAAAGATATCCTCACTCTAACTATAGGTTCCTTATAATTTGATTCTTGATGAATTAGATTATGTAATTTTATGAGCCTATATCTCTTGCATTAATATTTTATTTAAAAAACTAATAAAATTCTAATTTAGGGGACATCAGAGAAGTCTATATAGCCTTCCTAACTTATACTTAGGACTGTTAGTTGTATGGCAACACCAGCTATTTGATAGATACTTGATTGGCCAGGTACTGGTTAAGTCAGGCATCCCTGCACATTATAATGTAATTTTACCTTCAATAAAAAGTTAATTTTCTACATTTTAAAATTTCTTTATTTCATTTGCTGAGTTTCCCAATTCTGCCTGCTGTTTTATTTAACAACTTAATAAAACTTGTGAGGTTTTTCCTTTGGATAGGCTTTAGGGAATAATTTCTTAGTTCCATTTTCTAAGGAAGAGCTTTATGATCCAATAAGAATTATTGCTAACCTGTACTCATTCTTCAGGGAAGAAGCATCCAGCTTGCTTTAATATGAAATTTAATTATTGCTGACATTAATATGTGATGACCACTAAGACAATAAATCATTGAAAAAAAAAGCAGAGGAATACTTCATTCACCTTAAAGAAAAAGATATTAAAAGTGGCTATCCTGTGAAGTTACTTTGCCCATATTCTGTTTTTCTTTCTCTTTTTTAATTCCTCTATTCTTGCTAAGTTAGCTTTATTATTTCCTAGACCACTTTCCCCATTCCTTTTCTTATGCTTTCAAAATATGCCTTTGAGAATTCAAGCTATAGTTTGATATAGCATTTAGGTCACTGTTCTAACTTACATTGAATTTAATCACGAGGTCACTTGAACCAAGCAGCTTTGCTGTTTCTAATCTACTAACTGCACATTTTCTCTGAGATTGGATAGGACCATTCCTATTAGGATTTCTGACACAGAAGGTCAATAATTCTTTATTTCATCCATAATTTTGTATTTTATTGTCCTACACCTCTCAAAAGTTTTACAGTTTTTGTGGAGAAAATGAAATCTCCTATCACTAAACCAGATTGCTATTTTCTTGTCTTCTCTATGTTATCATGGGACTTATTATTCTTTTCTCCCCAATTTCAAGTTTTCTACTTGGCAACTTGTCTTTTATCTTTTATCTCTAATATTTAGATATAATATTAGAATTACTGGGAAACTCACTAAATAATGCACATTATTCTCTATGTAATTGTGTTTTACATTTTTAAATGATTCAATTTACTTAAGTTGTATTGGGCTTTAATAAAAATGTTAAGATCATAAACAGTTTACCTAAGGTGCTTTTATTATGTTTCCATGATATTTTTAAAGTTACAAGTAATGCTATTCTTATATGATTTGAGTAATTTCATAAACATATAAGTAAACTTACGTAAAATTAGTCACTAATAAAGTATTTTAGTTGCATATTTAAATAGTTTGAAAGTACACAAATTCTAAAATGTACCTTGAAACAAATGCATAGGGCTTCATAATTTTAATTGGGAAAATATCCTTTACAGTAAAAGCTAGAAAAACAAAGCTCTTTGTTCTAATGTTCTAGACCTGACGGAGCCAGTATCTTTTGTGACATTTAGCAAATTGTTGGGTTTGGTAGCCATTGATATATGCACAATGTTATAGTTCACATTGTATTTCAAACATTGTATGAGGTCATGGCAACAAACTAGTTAGTAAAGAACAAATTGAGATTTGGCATGTTACATTCATATATTTACAAAGAGAGAGGAAATAGAGAGAGGGAGAGACAAAATGGACTCCCCATGGCTAACTGTGGTTCTCAGACTTAAAACAGAACCAGGTGGTCATAACTGAGTGAAGGAGCAGTCATGTATGTACTTTGTGCTCTCAGAAAGATGTAAAAGCATCACAGGACTGACTTTTCTCCAATCAAACCAATCCAGCTCCTGTTGCAAGTGCCATGCCCAGGTAAAGAGCAGCCAGAAAGCACCACCTTCCCCTTCCCATTTGGGAAAAAAAAAAATTGACAGAAACTTCTAGTTTTGTCTTGGCAATCAACCAGTCAGGGTTTGAAAGTATTAACTGATCATGGTTTGGCTGTATCAACCAATTAGGGTTTATCTAAGTTGACCAATCAGAACTCAACTACACTAACCAATAAAAATAAGCCATTTTCAATCCTTCATTTGCAAAAATTGACCAGATTAGGAACCTGGGTTTGAAATTTGCTGTAAAACCTGAATCTTCCCTTTGTTCTCTGCAACACATTATTCTACATTCTACACTGAAGGTTGTGTCTCCTCAGTTTGCAAACTGTTCACTGGAATAAAGTGTTGCATCCAAACTTTTCATGGAACTTTTCTTCTCTTTATCTATCCAGATAGATAGATAGATAGATAGATAGATAGATAGAGATATAGATCTATCTATATATTATATAGATATATTATATCTAGATCTATCTATATATTACATATATTATATATCTATATATTATATATCTATCTATATATTATATATTATATATCTATATATTATATATCTATATATTATAGATCTAGATCTATCTATCTATCTACACACATGGATAGATATATGTATCTCTCTATATATATATGGGTAGATATCTCACTCTCAGATATATATACATATATATATATATATATATAGAGAGAGAGAGAGAGAGAGAGAGTGGTTTTGCCACAAACATTTCATTAGCAAAACCCTTAAAAGAGTTCAGGCTTGATTTCTCATTAGAGACATAATTCATTATAGAATGACTTATTTGACCATTTCTTACTGAGAAGCATTTACTTTATTACCAGGGGTTCCTGATTACAAATAACGTGATAAATATTCTTGCACATAATTCCTTTTTAATTTTTTTCTATAAATTTCCAGGCATTAGATTACTGAGTTAGAAGTATTTGCTTTTAATTAAGGCACATTTATTTATAGCAAAATTCAAAGACGTGAAGTTCTTATTCAATGAGTTTTGATAAGTGTTTACCCATATACTGACCATCCTAATCACTATATAAAATATTTTCATCACCCAGAATTTAATCGTAACTTCTTATCTTTCCCATCTTGTATATGGCTACAACTGTTCTGATTTCTATTATTAGAGATTAATATTGCACATTCTTACATTATTTTTTCTCTTATTGAATTTCAAATAAATGGTATACCACACACTGTGTACAATTTTCTAAAGCTTCTTAAGTCAACATAATGTTTTTGAGCTTCATACCGTGGTTATATGTATCAATATTTTATTTTTTGTTTATTACTGAACAGAATCTCATTGTACTTAGTATGAAATTATTTACCTATCAGCTCTCCATTTGATGGCCTTTAGGGTTGGTGTGAGTTTTTGGTGGTTAGAATAAACTGTAGAAACATTTTTGTACAGACATTTTATGGACACATACTTTTATTTCTCTTGAGTAAATACCTAGCAGTGTACTTCATGTATTATACAGTAAATCTGTGTTTACCGTTTAAAAGTGAGACTAACACTACTTCAAAGTAGTTGACTGATTATACTTATCTGTTAGCAGGGTATGAGGGTTTGAGTTCACACACATTTTGGTCAACATTTTGTGCTGTCAGGTTTGTTGTTGTTTTGTTTGTTGTTTAAATTTAACCATTCTGGAAAATATAAAATGAGACGTCTTTGTGATTAAAGTTAACATATTTATGATGACCTATGATGCTAAGAATGTTTTCATGTACTTATTGGCTTTTATACACTTTTGTGCAATGTCTAAGTCTTTTAGCCATTTTTTCTTTTATTGTAATTATGTAAGTGTTCTTTATGTATTCTGGACAAAAGACTTTTGACAGATGTACATGGTGCGAATACTTTCCCAAACTATAGCTCGCCTGTTAATTTTTGTAGCGGAATATTTTGAAAGGTGCTTTTAGTCTGGTTCTGTTATGTTTACCTTTTTATTCTTTTATATTTAGTGACTTTTGTGTTTTCTATAAAAAAAGTGTTAACTACTAAGAGTTTGCAAAGATGTTTCATTATACTTTCTTCTAGATGCTTTATAGCTTTGATTTTATATTTAATTCTATGGTCATTTCAAATCTACATTTATGAGTCTCTAATACAGGACTTGACATTTATTTTTTGATATATTTATGCAGTTATATCAGGTTTATTTGATAAAAAGTCATTTTGCTGTTGAGCTACCTTGATATTTCTGTTAGAGATAAATGCGATGTATATGTGCCTGCCTATTCCTGACATTCCTTTGTCTTTTTTTTCATTAATATCTTTTCTTCTAGGTGAAAACCTCATTGCCTTAACTAAGGTAGCTTTATAGTAAATTTTTATGTATTTTTCTTTGGTTTAGGATATTGTAAATATCAATGGAATATTTATCATTTAAGTGTAGAAAGAATTTAGCTATTACAGTGTATTCCCCCTGTATAATTTAATACACTTCTCTTGAATTGATTGATTCAAAATCTACTTTTTGTTTAAATTTCCATATTATATTTTACTAGAATCTAATCTATATCTTCTCCGATTTGAAATTCGTGAGATTCTTTTACATGTCCCATTCCTCTACTTAATTTTATTCCATAGCTTCAGTTATGGCTATTTTCCATTCTTAATTATAGATAGGCAAGCAGATATATAATAGATAGATTTATAAATATAAATATATCTGTTTTTCTCTTTTTATCTCTTTACCTTAAGTAGTTGTAAGATTGGATTGGGAGAATAATGATTTTATATTTATTTATTAATACTCCTCTTTTTTATTATTTCATTCAGTTCAACTTAAATTTTTATCAATATGCCTCATTCTTTTTATGTCATTATTTTTCTGGTTTTTATAACAATATTCAGTTCGTCTGTTTTTTGTTAATCTTAACTACAAGTAGACTAGCAATGTTTTTCTAAATGCAGGTTTTCTGTGTCTCTTAGATGTGTTATATGTTTTTCACTCTTTGTTTCCCTCTCCATGGCATATAGAATGTCAATTTTGATATTCTCTTTAAGACAAGAGTTACTTTTCTTTTATTTGCTATTCTTTTAAAAAAGTTTTCAGGCCAGGCATGGTGGCTCACGCCTGTAATCCCAGCACTCTGGGAGGCCGAGGCAGGCAAATCATGAGATCAAGAATTCAAGACCAGCCTGACCACCATGGTGAAACCCCATCTCTACTAAAAATACAAAAATTAGCTGGGCTGGTGGCACACTGCTGTAGTCTCAGCTACTCAGGAGGCTGAGGTAGGAGAATCACTTGAATCTGGGAGGCGAAGGTTGCAGTGAGCTGAGATCGCACCACTGCACTCTAGCCTGGGCGACAGAGTGAGACTGTCTCAAAAAAAACAAAAAATAGTTTTCAGAGCCATTTTTATTGTTTATGTAAAACTTACTGGCTTATGATAAGCATATGCAATATGCTCATTATTTACTTTTTGTACTTATTTTGGGGTGACAATATATTGTGATTTTTGTAAATGCTGCAATGTTGCACATGTAAAATATGTTTCTTTATTAAGTGTAGATAGTATAGGAGGTAGCATTAAATTAAAGGTGTTTATAACCTTATTCCAATCCTGTGTTCCCTCACTTATTATTTGACCATTATAAAGATTAAATTCATCACAAGGGTATTCTGTTCTCAAGACTGATGACAAATGATTTATATTCACATTTTTAAATGTGACCTGTCAAAGAATCACCAAATTACAATTATAAAATTTAACTGTATAAATTTTATTAATGTCTCAAATAATAAATTATAAATAATGAAGAGATACCTAAACATTCAATAAACTCTACTTGTTAGCAAATATCCATAGAAATATTAAAATACTCAAAACAAAGTACCTGTCAGATAAATTTTGACAAAATTGAGGCTAAAATTTATACTACACAAAATCTTACACTTCTAGAGATGGCCAAATCGTTCTTGATGATGTTACAACATCAGGGACATATTAGGACTCGTTAAGCAGCTAGAGTGATGATTATCTTCTAGTTAAATGGTATAATATTTTGTAGGCTTCGTATTATTTTGATGGCAGGTATTTCAGGAACCCATTATTTGGTATGACTTATTCAGGTGTAATTTACATAGAGCAAAATTTCTGGACAGTTGTATGAACTTTTAAAAGTAATTGATATATAATAGTTGTACATATACATAGGATACATGTGATATTTTCATACATGTATACAATGTATAATGATCAACTCAGGATACCTGGAATATCTCTCAGCGGAATATTTAATATTTCTGTGTTGAAAACATTCAAAATATTCTTTTCTAGCTATTTTGAAATACACAATAAACTAGTATTAACTATAGTCATCCTACTGTGGTATAGACCCCTCGAACTTACTCCTCCTATCTAATTTTGTACTCAATAACCAACCTCCACCAATACTCTCCTTCCTTCTACCCCCCTATATGTTAGTAACAATTATTCTACTTATTCTATGCAATCTACTTTTTAAACTCTCACAAATGGGTGAGGACATGTATTTGTCTTTCTGTGCTTGGCATATTTCACTCACCATTATGTCCTCTAGGCTCATCCATGTTGCTTCAAGTAACATAATTTCACTTGTGGTTTCAAAGGTTGAATAATATTCTATTGTGTATCTATACTGCATTTTCTTTAGCCATTCGTCTACTGATGAACACTTAAGTTGATTCCTTATCTTGGTTGTTGTGAAGTGCTTCAATTAACATGAGAGTACAGAGATTTTTTTGACATAACTTTTTCTCTAAGTTCGGATATATATTCAGTAATGAGATTGCTGCATCATATGGTAGTTCTATATTTAGTGTTTTGAGGAAACTCCACACTGTTTTCCATACTGGCTATACTAATTTGCATTTCCAACAGTATATAACAGTGCATAAGAGTTCCCCTTTCTCCACATCCTTGTCAGCATTTGTTATGTTTTGCCTTTTCGATAATAGCCATTTTAACTGGGATGAGATAATATTGTTGTTTTAGTTTGCATTTCCTTCATAATTAGTGATATTGAGCATTTTATGTACCTGTTGGCCATTTGCATATCTTATTTTGATAAATGTGTATTCAAGTACTTTAGCCATTTTTAATTTAGTTTTTGAGTTCCTTACATATTTTGGAAATTAACCACTTACCAGATGTATGGTTTGCAAATATTTTCTCCCATTCTGCAGGTTGTCTCTTGACTTGGTTAACTGTTTCTTTTGCCATGCAGGACCTTTTTGGTTTAATATAATCCCATTTAGCTAATTTTACTTGTGTTGCTTGTGCTTTTGAGGTCTTGCCCAAAAAATCTTTGCCAAGACAAATGTCCTGAATCATTTTTCCTATGTTTGCTCCTAGTTGTTTCATAGCTTTTGGTGTTACATTCTAGTCTTTAATAATTTTTTAGCCGATATTTTATATGGTTAAAGTTTGGGGTCTAGTTTCATACTTCTGCACATGGATATATAATTTCTCTGGTCCCATTTATTGAAAAGGCTATTTTTCTCAAATATATATTCCTGGCATTTCTGTCAAAAATGGGTGGCTGCTAATATGTGAATTCATTTCTGGGTTCTCTGTTTTGTTCCATTGGTCAATGTTTCTGTTTTTAATAATATCATGCTGTTTTTTTTACTGTACCTTTGGAGTACATCTTGAGGTTAGGTAGTGTAATGCCTCCAGCTTTGTTCTTTTTGCTCAGGATTGCTTTGGACATTTGGGAATTTTTTGGTGGTTCCATACAAATTTTAGGATTGGTTTTCCTATCTCTGTTATGAATGTCATTGGTATTTTGATACTTTTTAAATTGAATCTGTATATCCCTTTGAGAAGTATAAACATTTTAACAATATAAATTATTCTAATTCATAAACATGGGGTATCTTTACTTTTTTGGGTCCTCTTCAACTTCTTTCATCAGTGTTTTACGGTTTTCATTGCAAAAAACTTTCACTTCTTCAGAAAAATTTATTTTTAAGTATTTAATTTTTTGTAGCTGTTGTAAATGGGATTGCTTTCTGATTTTTTTTATTTTCAGATTGTTAACTACAGGCATGTATTACATTGGTGCAAAAGTAATTGTAGTTGTTGTCATTACTTTTAATAGAAATGCTGCTAAGTTATGTATGTTGATTTTGTATTCTGCAACCTTAATGAATTCATTCGTTAGTCCTGACTTTTTTTTTTGTGGGGTCTTTAGCTTTTTCTAAATATAGAATCATGTCCTCTGTAGACAGGGACAATTTAACTTCTTTTTTGTCAATTTGAATACTCTCTTTCCTTTGCCTAATTTCTCTGGTGAGGACTTTAAATACTATGCTGAATAAATGTGGTAAAAACGGACATTCTTTTCCTGTTCCAGACTTTAAAAAAAGGATTTCAGGATGTCAACTTCAACATTTTTCCATTCAGTGTAATGTTAGCTGTGAGTCCTTCATATAAGGTATTGAGATGTGTTGCCTCTATACAAAATTTGTTGACAGTTTTTATCATGAAGAAATGAAAAATTTTCTCAAATGATTTCTCTGTCTCTATTGAGATATCATGTGATTTTTGTCCTTTAATTTGTTGATGTGATGAATTACATTTATTGATTGTCATATGTTGAATTACTCTTGCATTCTTGGGATAAATCCCACTTGATCATGGTGTACAATCTTTTGAATGAGCTGATGGATTCAGTTTGCTGGCATTGTGTTGAGGATTTTTACACCTGTGTTCATCAGAGATATTGTCTTATAGTTTTTGTTGTGTTCTTGTCTAATTAGGGTATCAGGTAATGCCAATCCCATAGAATAAGCTTGAAGGAATTCCCTCCCCTTCAGTTTTTTTGGAATAAATTGAGAAGAATTGGTACTAAGTAGTTCTTTAAATGTTTGGTAGAATTCAGTAGTAAAGTCATATGGTCCTGGGCTTTTCTTTGTTGGGAGATATTTTTATTCCTGATTCAATCTCATTACTCATTATCAGTCTTTACAGGTTTTCGGTTTTATGGTTCAATCTTGATAGGTTGCATGCGTCCAGAAATTTATCAGTTTCTTCAAGGTTTTCCAACAGGTTGGCATATAGCTCTCCGTAATAATCTCTAATGATTCTTTGTATTTTTTTAGTATCAGTTGTAATGCCTCCTTCTTGCCTGTGATTTTATTTATTGAGTCTTCTCTTTTTTTCATAGTATAGCTAAAGCTTTGTTGATTTTACCTTAAAAAAACACAACTTTTATTGACAATTTCTAGTGTTTTAGTCCCAATTTAATTTATTTATGATCTGATCTTTAGTTTTTCTTTTCTTATAATATTTTTGCATTTGAATTTTTCTTGCTTTTCTAGTGTCTTGAGGTGTATTTTTTTTCAATTTCAGGTTTCTGCTGAAAAGTTCACTAATATCCCTATGAGGGTTTCCTTACCCTTGACAATTTGTTTTTCCTTTCTGATTTCAACTCTCTCTCTTTTTGTCTTTCACTTTTGGCAACTTGACTATGATATGTTGTGTTGTGAGTCTCTTTGGGTTCATTGTCTTTGGTGTTCTGTGGGCTTTCCACATCTAGCTTTGTAATTTCTTTCCCAAACTTGGAAAGCTTCCTGCCAGTCTCTCTTCGGACATATTTTCTGTTTCTTTTTCTTTTCCCCCTGGAACATAAAATATGTGTAACTTATTCTGCTTGATAGTGTCCCGTAAGTCTCTTAAGCTACCTTTATTCTTTTTTTAAATTCTTTTCCTTTTAGTTCATAAGATTGGATGATTTCCAGTAATCTATTTTCAGGTTCACTGATCTTTTCTTCTTCTTAATCTAAGGTGTTGTTAAACTCCTCTGTTGGATTTTACAGTTTGGCTATGGCCTTCTTCAGACCTATGAGGTCTTTTGTCATTTTTAAATGCTTTATCTTTGCTGTAATTCTCAGCTTGTTCTTGCAATGTTTCGCATCTTTACAATGATAATTTTGCATTATCTACAGAGTCAATTAAAAAATTCTAATTTATTCAGGTGGATTTCTGGAGATTTACCTTGATCTTTTGATTGAAATATATTCTCCTTTTTCAATAATTTTATTGATTCCCTGTTGTTTTCTGTGCATTAAAGACATTTATACCTCTGTATTAGTCAGTCTTCATACTGCTGAAAAAGACATACCTGAGGCTGGGTAATTTACAGAGAAAAAGAGGTTTAATGGACTCATAGCTGCATATAGCTGGGGAGGCCTCACAATCATGGTAGAAGGCCAGGAGGAGCAAATCACATCTTAAGTGGATGGCGGCAGTAAAAGACAGAGAGTATGTGCAGGGGAATTCCTCTTCATAAAACCATCAGATCTTGTGAGACTTCTTCACTATCACAAGAACAGCATGGGAAAGACCCACCCCCATGATTTAATTACCTCTCCCTGGGTCCCTCCCACAACACATGGTGATTGTTGGAGCTACAGTTCAGAATGAGATTTGGGTGGGGACACAGCCAAACCATATCAACATCTGTCTTGTTATTCTGGACTGTGTAAAAGAAGGTTTTTACCAATCTGTCTCCCAAAATTTTTAAGGTGTCTCTCTAATTGTTGTGACTGTTATCTCTGATTTTAGTGCCCCCTTGCAGCTTAGAATATAACACATCTTGTCACTACCCTGATATAATATGCTAGGAGCTAGGCTCTTTAGATGTAGCTAGAAAGGTTGGAGTGTTGAATGCTAATTCCAATTCTTTCTATCTTCACAGTGAGGCTAGGTACAGGTGTTCATCTTCAATTTTCTCTAGACAAAGTCAGAGAGTGGATCTGTAGCAAATGCCTATACTCAGTTTCAGACTGCACTTTCTAATTCAGGAAGGGTAGCTACTGAGAGTAGGCCCATTATATATCCACCTGCTTGTTTTCTGTGGTCTCAGTTCACATAGAATTGCAAAGGCCAGTTTAGTTGTAGAGCTATGTCATTAAGGTTATAGCTCCTTAGGTGGAAGCTATGAAAGTTATGGTGCTCACCACATGGCAAAACTTATTCTAGAAAGACTAGATAAGCCTGGATTTATCACTGGGATGAGCCAGTGGGAGGTTCTGTGAAGTGCCAATGTTTAGCTCAGACTACTGAAGGGCTATTGTTTTTGTTCCCCCTTTAACTCCCTGATGCACTTTCATTAGAGACCAGGCCATCAAGTATCCACAGACAGTGTGTATTATAAGCCACTTCCACAGAGAAATTGAGAGCTCCACAGAGAAATTGAGAGCTGCATAATCCTACTTCTTTTCTGTACAGTTCCAAGGGAGTGTAACTCCTGGAAGTGTTTAGATAATGGTTTAAAACATTTTCTTTTGTTCTAGAATCAAGGGAGACACATGCATGCCAGTCCCTCTTCCTTCCAGAGCTAAGAGATTTATAATGCAGTCTCTTATGTGGATGGTATAGAAGGTGGGGCTCTAGATGTGAGTAAAATTTCTCTCTAATGCAAGTTATTTAGAAGTCAGAGCACTAGTTGGCTGCTTAAGATGCATTTTGTAAACTCATTCTGGAGGCCAACAGTGGGCCATGTTTTTTGTTGTTTGTTTTTATTTTTTACTTTTGAGAAGGAATCTTGCTCTGTCACCCAGGCTGGCATGCAGTGGCATTATCTTGGCCCACTGCAACCTCTGCATCCTGGGTTCAAGCCATTCTCCTGCCTCAGCCTCCCAAGTAGCTGGGATTATAGGCACTCACCAACAGGCCCAGCTAATTTTTCTATTTTTAGTAGACATGGGATTTCACCATGTTGGCCAGGCTGATCTTGAACTCCTGACCTCAGGTGATGAGCCCACCTTGGCCTCCCAAAGTGCAGGGATTACAGGCATGAGCCACGCACCCCGCCTGGGCCGTGTTTTTAAGGCCCCTTCTCACATCACTCCCAAGGGAATAGAGAGTCCCTTAAAGAGTCTCCATAACTGTAAAAGCCACTGGTTTTATTCCTACGGTGTAGAGAGACATGCATTTACCAATCATTCATGCTTCCAGAGCTAGGAGATTTGTGGTGGCAGTCCCTTAGGTGTTGCAAGAATCGGATCACTTGCTGGGGTTGCAAACTCCTTTCAGATGGCTAGTGGGTTAATAATTGACTGTTTCCTTCACTCTACAGTCCTAGTTAGATGCCAAGACACCTGACAGCTGCTGGAGGGTGTTTTGTATACTTCTTCCAGGGGGAAACAGAGGGCTATGTTTTTTAAAGATCCCTTTCTTCACTGCTTCCAAGCTGATGCAGTCCCTGTAACTACTTTTATACCTATATAAAACTCCTGCTTTATTCCCTGTGGTCTGGAGGACACGTGTATCTAATTCCTTCCACTTCCACAAATTAAGTCAAACCAGGGGAAAACTTGGGATAAGGGCCCCATATGTGATGTCCACATCCTTCTTTCCAGAGAGAAAAACTGGGTGTTGGAGATTCCTTGCCCAATTGTACGATGAAGTTCCCAGGGTGGGGTCCATGCCTTAGTACACCTTGGCTTCTCTTACCCATTTCATGTGGGTATTTTTTCAGTTGCCTATTGGATAGAAGTCTCCTGTCTGGTCTCTGACTTTTTCTCAGAAGAAATTGATTTATAAATAGATATTTATTTGGTGCATCTGTGGGTGGGAAAAAAAGTGAGACACTAGCTATTCTGCCAGCTGTAGGAGTTTTGACTAACATACATTTGCATAACTATGACCACAAACAAGACATAGAACAATTCCAGCACTCCTAAAATTGTCTTGTGTTCTTTTGTAGTAAAAACTTTCAATAATAGTTTTCCCCCCTTCAATAGCTAGTAAACTGTATGAAAGCAAGTCTGCTTTACTTCAATAAAATGAATGCTTTGGCCAGGCTTTCTTAGAAAATGTTGTATATCTGCAGCCAATTCACATTTTATAAGGACCTCTCAGTCTCTCACATGGAGTTTTCCTTGCTGAAGTCCTTGAGTCTTCTCCAGTTAGGTAAGATAGACATCTGAGCTAAGTTCACAACTTTTCTTAAGAGAAAAACTTACCCCTGATTCAATAGAAATGTTTGTACACATACATAAGAAAAAGCATGTACCTGTAGACAAAATCATCATTAACTATATTGCCCTATTAAAGTTAAAATTCTTTGTTACAATTGCCTACATCCAAAAACCATCAGTCTATATTACAGTGGTTAAAAAATCTAATAACACTAGTATAAAGGCAGCTGAATGGAATTGAGTAATTGAGACTGACCCAACTCTCAAGATGAAAGACATCAAAGCTCACACACTAAAAAAAACGGGTACACCCTCATATATATATATATATTTTTTTTTTTGAGATGGAGTCTCGCTCTGTCGCCCAGGCTGGAGTGCAGTGGCGCGATCTCGGCTCACTGCAAGCTCCGCCTCCTGGGTTCACGCCATTCTCCTGCCTCAGCCTCCCAAGTAGCTGGGACTACAGGCGCCCGCCACTACGCCCGGCTAATTTTTTGTATTTTTAGTAGAGACTGGGTTTCACCTTGTTAGGCAGGATGGTCTCGATCTCCTGACCTCATGATCTGCCTGCCTTGGCCTCCCAAAGTGCTGGGATTACAGGCGTGAGCCACCGCGCCTGGCCACAGCCCCATATATTCTTGATCCACTAAAAGACTTTCTTTTGTCAATTTTTTCTGCAAATTCTACTTTTCTATTTACACAGGCTCAGGATATAATGCATAAAATTTTAAGAAATTAATTTGTAGCTAACAAATAGTAATTATTTTATTTGCCCAACAAATAGTTTAGCTGGAAAATAGAGAATAAACTGCATAAGAAAAATTGAAATATCACTTGTATTATTTGTAAAGATTAGAATAAAAATGGAGTAGGTATCATAAAAAAATATGAACTTCATAATCCTCCCCTCCACAAAGAAAACTAGGATTAACTCATCTGAAAGAATGAGTCTGCTAAATCAGAAACATTTACTCAGATTTCTGTCTCTCTGAGTGGAGAGGAATAGAGACAATATCAAATACTTCATGATTATGATCAGAGATAGAATCTCTCAATCAAGAAGTGTAGTGCACTGTTAGTTGACCCATTCCACCTCAACCAGGTAAAATCTTGCATCTTTATATTGGTACATATACCGTGTATAGCAGTAAATATAACAAGCTTTCCTTTTCTTAAGTTTTCCGAATTTTGTTTCATAGTTGAAGCAAAAACTATAACCCTGTCTGTTTCGTTCTAGTAATATCTATAGCAACCATAAAAATAGTTATACAAAGAGATACACTTTAAATATAACCATCTTATATGTATTTTTAAAAACTCTAAAAATGTTGAAGTGATTCTCAGGAAAGCATTAAAAATCAAAACAGATAAACACAGAAATAACAGAGAACCAAAAAAAAAATGGCCAACACAAACCTTCACATATCTATAATTGTATTAAAATAAATTATCTATATGTTGATTAAAGAAAAATACAGCCAAGCATTGCTTAATGACAGGGATGTATTCCAAAAAATGCATAGTTAAGAGGTTTTGTTGTTATGTGAACATCATAGAGTACACTTACACAAACCTAGATGGTACAGCCTACTACACACCTAGGCTATATGGTACGGTTTATTGCTCCTCAGTCTCAAAGCTGTACAGAATATTACTGAACTGAATACTGTAGGCAATTACAACACAGTGGTGTTTGTATATCTAAATATATCTAAACATAGAAAAGGTACAGTGAAAATACTGCATAAAAAATAAAAAATAGTATACTTGTACAGGGCATGTACCATGAATACAGTTTGCAGGTCTTGAAGTTGTTCTGAGTGAGTCAGTGAGTGGTGAGTGAAGGTGAAAGCCTAGGACATTACTGTACACTGCAGACTTTATAAACACTATACATTTAGGCTATGCTAAGTTTATAAATGTTTTCATTTAATAATATGTTAATCTCAGGTTATAATAACCTTTTTACTTTATAAACTTTATTTTTTTTAATTTTGACACAGCATAAAACACAAATACATTGTACAGCTGTACAAAAATATTTTCTTAATTTATATTATCATTCCATAAACTTTTTTCTATTTTTACAATTTTTAATTGTTTTAAGTTTTTGTTAAAAACAAAGACACAAACACACACTAGCCTAAGGCTACCCAGGGCAGGATCATCAATATCACTGTCTTCCACCTCCACAACTTGTTCCACTGGAAAGAATTCAGAGGAAATAACATGTATGGAGCTGTTATTTCCTATGATAACAATGCCTTCTTCTGGAATATCTCCTGAAGGACCTGCCTGAGGCTGCTTTACACTTAGCTTTTTTTATACATAGAGTAAGTACATGCTAAAATAACAATTAAAAGTATAGTATAGTAAATACATAAGCTAGTAACAATCATTTATTATAATTCTCAAGTATTATGTACTATATGTAATGCTGTATGCTATATTTTGATACAACTGGCAATGTGGAAGGTTAGTTTATATCAACATCAACAAAAACATGTGAATAATGCATTGCACTACTATGCTGCAATGTCTATTAGGTGTTAGAAATTTTCCATCCCCCTTTAAATCATATGTGACCACTGTCATCTATGCAGTTATGGTTAACTAAAACAGTGTTATGTGGCACAAAATTATATTGTCAAAGTTGATTAACAAATATGACCCAATATATGCTGTCAACAAATAGCTCACATCAGATATAATGATATATTTAGGTTGAATTTAAAGTGATAAAATATGTGTATTAAACATTGAGGAAGAAAAACAGAAGTGGCTATATTAATATCAAAGTAGATTTAGAGCAAATAAAATTACCAGAGACAGAAATGCATATAATATAATAATAAAAAACATAAATTTATGAAATCAACATGGCAATCCTAAGTAAATAGGCATTAAACAAAACCACTGTAATATATGTGAAGCAAAAACTGATAGAACTGAAAGAATAAATGGATAATAAATATTATAATTGCAAACTTTAACACCCTTCTCTGAACAATTGATAGAAAAACTAGATAGAAAGTCTGCAAGAATATAGGATGCAACACCACCATCACAAAAAGAGGCTCTAATTGATATTTACAAAACACTCATTGACATTTACAAAATATTACAAACAACATGCAAACATATATTCTTTTCAAGTGCTTATGAAACACATACAAGATAGACCATATCCTAGGCCATAAAACAAATCATAAAAATGTAAAAAATAAACAAAAATTATGTAATATGTGTTCTCCAACAACAATGGAAACAAAAATCTTTGTTATCATAGATAACAAGAAAAAACCCAAACATAGATACAAACAAACAAACAAACAAAAACCCACATATCTAAGATAACTTTGGGTCAAAGAGAAAGTTTCAGGAATATAAAAAAAAATCCATTGAACTAAACAAAAATGAAAATACAACAGATTAAATTTGTAAAACAGCTTTCAAAAGTGTTCACTTAAAAATATGTAGCAATAAATTTCCATATTAAAGAAGAATTAAGACAACAATTGAAGCTACCACTTCAAAAGTCTAGCAAAAACAAAGAAAAATAAACTCAAATAAAGCAAAGGATAGGAACTAATAAAAAATAATTGTAGAAACTACTGAAATTGAAAAAATATGAGACAATGAAACAAACAGCTATATTTTTGGAAGATTAATAAAATTGAAAAACCTCTAGGAAGACTCAGAAAATAAGAAAGACACATTCCCACTATCACAATGAAACAGGATATTACTCCATACCTTGCATACACAACCAGAATGTGGGAACATTACAGACAACTTCTTATTCATAAACTAGACAAAGTAGACAAAATAGAGCCATTCTCTGAACACAGACTACCACAACTTGCCCTAGAAAATGGATACTATGAGTAACCTTACCACTTTTACAAATTGAGTCTTTAATTAAAACACTTCAAAAGAGAAATCCCCAGGCCTATATGGTTCCAGTGAAGATTATGAATAAATATTTAAAGAATAATTTATACCAACTCTACACTATCTCTTTGAGAAAACTAATGAAGAGAAAACGTTTTCCACTTTCTTTTATGATACTAGCATTACTTTTATACTAAAACCTGACAAGAAAATAGTCTTACACGAAAAAAAGAGAGCTACATTTCAACATCCCTTATGAATGTAAATACAAATATCCTTAGCAAAATAGAAGTAAATAGAATTAAGCACTATATAAAATAATTGTTCACCCTGACCAAGTGACGTTTCTTCTAAAGATGCAAGGCTGATTCACTGTTTCAAAAAATCAAACAATATAATCCACCATATTAACAAGCTAGAGAAGAAAAAGCACACAATTATACCAATCAATACAGAAAAAAAACTGTTTGATGAAACTTAACACCTATTTGTGAGAAAATATCCAAAGAAAAAATAGGCATACAATGGACTCATCCTCAAATTGATAAAATATTGTCTATAACAACCTACAGCTAACATTATACTTAATGGTGAAAGACTGAGTAAAAACTTCTAGAACTATTCAGTTCAGCAAATTTATAGTATAAAAAAATCAAAACCAAAAATTGATTGCATTTCTATGTACTAAAATAAATATGTGGAAACTAGAATAAAATACAATATTGTTCAATCACCTAAAGAAAAAATACTTAGGTGTAAATGTCACAAAACGTATACAGGACTTTTATGCTGCACATTATATACACATCACTGATGAAAATACAATTAAAGAAGACTCAAATGTGTAGATACACTATGTTCTTAAGTTGAAATTTTCAATATAATACAGGTGTAAATTCTCCTCAAATGCATACAGTTTTAACAAAATTCATATTGAATGCCAGCAAGACGTTTTGTAGTCGTAGAGATAATCATTCTAATATTTTCAAGAAAAGGTAAACGAACAAAAATTGCCAACACAAATTCTAAAGAGAAGAATGATTGAAAATAACTAGTCTACCAGATTTCAAGACTAATTTTATAGCTACAGTTTTCAATACTTTGTGATATTGGAAGAGGGATAGACACGTAAGTCAATAGAACAGAACAGACAACCCAGATGATGACTCAAACAAATTTGATCAAATGCTTTTTGAAAAGGTGCAGAGCAATGAAATGATGAAACATAGCCTTTCAACAGTGCTAGAATAATTGGCTATTCATAAGCTAAAAAAATAAACTTTAATTTAAGCCTCTCACACTGTATACAAAATTTTAAAAATGTATACAAAATATACAGAATTTAACCCAAAATAGATTACATATTTCAATGTAAATCATAAAACTATAAATTTAGAAATAAAAGTAGAAAACATCTTCAAGATCTAGAGCCAAGCAAAGATTGTTTTATACTTTACATCAAAATTATGATCCATAAAAGAAAAATGTGATACAATTAAATTTATCAAAGTTAAACATTTTCCCAGCAAAAGACCACATTAACAACATGAAAACACAAACTAAACAGTGAAAGAAAATATTTGTAAAGCATATACCCAACAAAGACCTAATATGTAGAATATATAAAGAGCTCTCAATATTCAATAGTAAAAAACAATCCAACTAGAACTTGCATAAAATACGTAAAGAAACATTTTGCTGAAGAATATATGCAGATGACAAAAAGCACATGAAAAGATGTTCAGCATAACTAGACATTAGGAAAATGCACATTAAAACCACAACAAGGCATCACTACATAACTATCATAATGGCCAAAATAAAAAGAAAGTGAGGGCACCACATGCTTGTGAAGACATGGAGAAACTGGATTAATTTTACCAGTGAAAATTCCAATGGGAATGTGCAATAGTTACAGGCACTCTGAATACAATTCAGTAGTTTCTTAAAATATTGTACTAACCACGCAACTACCATAAAATTCTAGGCACTTATTCTAGAGAAATTAAAGACAAAAAATCTGTATGTAAAATTTACAGCAGATATTTTTTATAATAGTCCAAAACTGGCAAAAATCAAGATATCTATCAATGAACGAATGGATAATGACAATGGTGTCTATATACCATGAAATAGTGTGCTCAGTATCCACGAAACCCAAACTATTGCAATATACAAGAATCTGAATAAGTCATCAGAAAATTATGTTGGGTGAAAAAAATGTATAAAAGGTTACATTTCAAGACTAATTATATGTAACAGTTTATTTATATAAAAGTCTGAAAATGGTGAAATTGTAGTTGTAGAAAAGTGATTAGTAGTTTCCAGGGATGAAGGTGAAATGAGAATGGAAGGGAAGAAGAATATGAGAGATCATTGTAGTGATAGAATCATTTTGTATCCTGTCAATGCCATTATTCTGGTTGTGATATTGTATGATTCTTTTGCAAGATGCTACCATTGGGGAAAATGTAATGGTGTCCCTCTGAATTATTTATTTCCATTTTCAATGTATCTAAAATTATCTCAAGTAAGAAGTTGACTTAAAAATTTATAAAACCAATTATAAGATGTGTCTCCAAAAATTTATATGGAAAAAAATGCATATTCTCTGTTAAAAATTGATTTCAACTTTGCTACTGATAATATTTAAACAATATTTTAAATTAATCTTTTACATACTAGAGAAGTTTCTAGCAGTCTCTTCAATAGTATTGAAATTGAGAGAGCTAGTGGTTTGGTTTGAATGTTATAATCATGGAAAACACTTCAGATCTATTTTATTCCTCAACAGAATGAAGCTGTAGACGCAGAACTAAGAGAGAATGATAGGACTAGAGATTGCCTTATTTGTTTCTGACTCTGATTTCTTAATGACAGATTGCAGTCTGAAGACCAGGTTTAACTAAGAATCAATTTTGAGGGGCAAAAAGTCAATTTCAAGCTACAACACTGGACATTCATAGATTCCTAATTAAACTCTCACCAGTATAGACTGCACAAATAACAGCTGGGAGGCAAACTACAATTTGAAAACACTGCTCTCCTTCATACAAACTCCAACCAGACTGATCTAGGATAAAGTGAAACAAAGGAGGAGAAAACAATTATACTCCAGATATCATAAACCATGTTGCATTGTCTCAAACTGAGAGCAATTAATGATTCCAGAAACAAACAAAATTATCTGATAAAAGGGATGACTGCCTTCTATTTAGAAATAGAGCATACTATAAGGCAATAAATTATGTTTTCAAAGTGGTGAAAAAGAAAAAAATCAAATCCAATATTTTATAGCTAGAGAAAATATTATTTTAAAAGGAAGCATTTTTAAATACACAAAATATGAGTGAATTTGTTGCCAGAGGAATTTCACTGCAAGTGATTTAAATGGGAAATATTTAGACTAATGGAAAATTATACCAAAAGTTATATATATATAAGAAATTTAAAAATGTATATATATTTTTTCTTCTTTATTTCAGTAAAAGACAACCAGATTATTATTTAAAGCCAAAATTATAACATTGTATTGTGAGATTTAAAACTTATTTAAAAGTAAATTATATGACGAAAATTAAGAGCATAAAAAGGAAAGGAAATAGAAGTATACTGTTGTTACTGTATTGTATATTATGAGGAAAAACTAGAGTATTAATTCTGATTACATTTGATAAGTATGTTATAATTCTTAAAGAAAATTGGTATATAATAAAATGAAATGTAGTTTAAAAGCCAATGAAGAAATAGAATAATAATTTTAAAATTCTATTAAACCAAAAGAAGGCGAGAAAGAAGAAATAAAGGAAAAAACAAACAAGAAAATGAGTATAATAGAATAGAGATAATGACATAATGTATACACCCAAACATACCAAATGACTCATTAATATACTAAAGTCTTCCATTAGTGAGCTCAGGCTACAACAAAACAATGAAATTTAGGTAGCTTAAAAAACATTTATTTCTCACAGTTTTGGAGGCAAGGAAGTCCAAGTTCAAGGTGCTGATAAGTTCAGTTCCTAGTTGAATGACCTCATCCTGGTTTGCAGACAGATGCCTTCCAGTTATGTCCTCACATGACAAAGAGAACACAATCTCTCTCTGCCTCTTGTTATAAAGCCACTAGTTTCACAACTAGGGCCTCAAAACCTCATTTAACACTAATTGCCTCTCAAAGGCCTCATCTCCAAATACAATCACATAAGTGGCTAGGCCTTCAAAGTATGAATTTTAGGAAACACGATTCAGTTCACAGCTACTCTATTTAAAATGTCAGAGATTATCAAATTGAATAAAGAAATAAGAACTAACTCTATATTTTCTACATAAGATACTTTAAATATAATGAACCAATTAATTGAAATTAAAATGATGAAGGAATATATATCATGAATATAACAAGCATAAAGTTTTCTTACTACGTCAATCAGATAAAGTCGACTTCAAGACAAGAACAAAGTTGTCAGACATAAATATATTTCATAGTGATTGATAAAAGATTAATTCATCAGGAAGAGCTACAATCTTCAAAGTGCATTTACCTAAAAAGAGAGCTTCAATCATTTAAAGCAAAACCTTTCAAAACTAAAGGAGTAATAGATAAATTCATAGTCATAGATGGGTATTTCAGTAACTCAAATTAATTGTTAGGAAATGGACTGTATTGAGTCCCTCTCTTACAGTTTTATGCACTTTCATCTGGTTGATCCTTACCCTTGACCAATTTTCCATATACCTACCCTTTCCTAATTGTTTTTTTACACTGCTGTGCCCAATTTTGAGTGATGCCTTGGTTTTAGCCTTTTTTTTTTTTTTTTGCATACTCACAAACCAATCAGCACACACTACCTAATTCTGAGCCCATAAAAGCTCTGGACCCAGCCACGCTGGGAGGGAAACCACCTGATTTCAGGTACAGAACCACTCTCATGTACCCTCTCTGCTGAGAGTTATTCCATCACTCAATAAAATTCTTCTCTGCCCTCCTCACCCCTTGATTGTCAGTGTAACCTCACTCTTCTTGGACGCTGAACAAGAACTGAGGAACTGCTGAATGCAGGTACAGCTGTAACAAAGGCAGGCTGGGGAATGCCAGGCCCATCTACTGGCTGAATGTGGATCCTGCAGCAAGTGCAAGATCCAGGCTAGTGCACAAGCCAGACATGGCCCATCAGGCCAAGTGGAGGGAGCACCTCCTGCAGCAGGCCTGGAACTGAGCAAGGCCTGAGGGGGGACACATCGCCAGCCGCAGAGGTCCCTGACTGGCAGAGGGACTAAGAAGAATCCTGCATCATAAGGACATAAAAGACAGCAATACTGAATATTTCAATAACTCAAATTAATTGTTAGGAAATGGACTGGACTGAGTACCTCTCTTCCAGTTTTGCACACTTTCCTCTGATTGATCCTCACCCTTCACCAATTTTCCATATACCTACACTTCCCTAATTGTATGAATTTTAGGAAACACGATTCAGTTCATAGCTACTCTACTTAAAATGGCAGACAACTTGACGTTCATATAACTTGACATTCATATAACACCATACATACCCCCATGAAAATTATTTTAAAGTGCAAATGGAGTGTTTATGTAATGGACCTTATGCCTGTCAATAAAGTAAATTTTAATAAAATCTAATGCATGAAAATCATAGAGAATACATTCTATGACCACATCAAAAGTAAACTAGAAACTAGTAACAAACATTTTAAAATCTCTGAGTATTTAGAAGTTTAAATATACATTTCTAAAAACTATTTCTAGTGTCTTTTTATAATGGTGTATGTAGAAAATCCTAAAACATCTACAGTTATACAATAAGTAATAAGAACATTGTGTATTTACACAGGCATTTCAGGCTATGTGGTGAATATAGAAAAATCAATTATAATCTACAACCAAAAATAAAGCATTTGAAAATGAAGTAAAAACTTTCATAGCCACTTTGGGAGGCCAAGGTGGGTGGCTCATTTGAGGTCAGGAGTTTGAGACCAGCCTGGCCAACATGGCAAAACCCGTCTCTAGTAAAAATACAAAAATTATCCCTGCATGGTGGCACATGCCTATAATCCCAGCTACTCTGGAGGCTGAGGCAGGAGAATCACTTGATCCTGAGAGGCGGAGGTTGCGGTGAGCTGAGATTGCGCCACTGCATTCTAGTCTGGGTGACAGCGTGAGACCCTGTCTCAAAAAAAAAAAAGTTCATAGCATCACAGAATATAAAATGCTTATGAATAAATTTAATGAAAGATATACAAGCCCTCTCCACTGAAAACTTGAAATTTCTATTAGAACAAAACATACATCTACCCTATGAATCAGTCATTTCACTCCTATGTGTACACTCAAGAAATAAAAAAGAAATAGTCACACAAAAACATGTAAAATAATTTTTTAGCAAAATTATTAATAATAGTGAATAAATGGAAACAAATGTCCAGCAGCTGGAGAACTGATAAACAAATCATAGTATACAGAAATCATTGGATACTAATCCAAAATTGTAAAAATATAAAACTTCTGATTTATGCAACAACATCGATGAATCTTTAAAAAGATGTTGCATTGCAAGAAGCAATTCAGGCAATCAAGGAACTATGATATGAGTCCATTTATATGAGGTCCAAAGAAAGGCAAAAGAAATTTTTATGGATAAAATCAGGACAGTGGTTTCTGATTTTACGGAGATGGCAAGAGGTTGAGGGAAGTTCCTGGGATAGTGGCAAATATCTATACTTTTTATAATGTTTGGTTACACCAAAGCATTTGTTTGTTAAAGCTCAATAAGTTATAAATGAGTTATCTTTTCATTTAATTGTATGCAAAGTTTACCTCAATTCGGAAAAAAATAACTTAGGCAAAAATCAGAATTAACACGATGAAATACAAGCAAATGAAATACTTCATGAAACGTAAGTGTGAAAATATTACCCGTATGTAAACAAACTTGACAAAGACAAATGCAGTAGGTAGTATGATCATAGTTATTGAGGCCAAATAAAACGTACACAAAATATTGAGTTTCTATATTTCTGAATGAGAAAATAGAATACAAAAAAAGATATTCAAATGTAAAAATGCAATAAACCTTTTATTCTGAAATTAAAGAAAATATTTAAAAAGTACTCAAAAAGGGCTTACCAGGTTTCAAAAAGATTATGATAAAAATACAAAAACATGGAATCAGTAAAGTTATTGAACCCAAGACTTAAAGGAAGAATGATCTACTTTGAAGAAGAATATTAAGTTAAAAAAAGGAGAAAAAATAAAACAGTGCTTATCTTTTACTTATATAAAATTGGAGACCAAAAAGAAAACTTAGTGTATACAAATTAGTAATTTCACTACTGTATATGTAGTGAAATATAAAAACATACGTCAAACAAATATAAACGTAAAATATAAACATACATCAAACAAAACACACATCAAACAAAATAAGGATACAACAGAAGAATGCAAAGGGTATTTATGAAAGGTTGTTACAATTTATTGTGCTTCACAGATATTGTAATTTTTTTAAATTAAAGATTTGTAGCAGCTGTGTACTGAGCAATCTATTGATGCCATTTTTTCCAACAGCATGTGCTCACTTCAAGTCTTGGCAGCACATTTTGGTAAACCTTGCAATATTTCAAACTTTTTCATTATTATTATATCTGTTATGGTTATCTCTGATCAGTGATCTTTGAGGTAACTACTGTAATATCTTTGGGGAACCAAACATCATGCCCATATAAGACAGCAAACTTAATAAATGTGTGTTTTCTGACAGCTACACTGACTAGTCATTTCCTCGATCTCTTTCCCTCTCCTTGGCCATCCCTATTTTCTGAGGCACAACAATATTGAAGTTAGGCTAATTAATAACCCTACAATGATCTTTAAATGTTCAAGTAGAAGAAAGAGCCACATGTCTATCACTTTAAATCAAAAGCTAGAAAGAATTAAGCTTAATGAGGAATGCATGTCAAAAGCTGAGATAGGCTGAACGCTGGGTCTCTTGTAGCAAACAGTTAGCAAGTTGTAAATGCAAAGGAAAAATCCTTGGAGGAAATTAACAGTGCTACTCTGGTGAACATGCAAATGATAAGAAAGTAAAACAGCTTTATTTCTGGTATGGAAAAAGCTTTAGTGGTCTGGATAGAAGATAAAACCAGCTGCAACATTCCCTGAAGCCTGAGAAAGGTGATGAAGCTGCAGAAGAAACATTTGATGCTAGCAGAGATTGGTTTGTGAGATTTAAAGAAACTATCTCCATAACATAAAAGTGCAAGATGAAGCAGAAAGTGCTGGGAGAAACTGCAGCAAGTCATCCAGAAGATATAGCCAAGATCATTGATGAAAGTGGCTACACTAAACAACAGATATTCATGCAGACAAAACAGCCTTTTTATTGGTGGAAGATGTTATCTAAAATTTTCATAGCTAGAGAGGAGAAAATAGTGCCTGGTTTCAAAGCTTCAAAGAGTAGGCTCTCTTTTTAGGGAGCTAATGCAGTTGATGACCTTAAACTGAAGTCAATGCTCATCTAACAGTGTGAAAATCCTAGGGTTCATAAAACTTATGCTAAATCTATTCTGCTGTTTTCTAGAGATGGAACAACAAAGCACGATGACAGCACACCTGTTTACAGCCCATTTACTGAATATTTTGAGCCTCCTGTTGAGACTGCTCAGAAAGAAAAGACTCCCTTCAAAATATTACTGCTCTTTGACAATGCACCTGGTCACCCAAAAGTTCTAATACAGATATACAGGAGATTAATGCTGTTTTCATGCCTGCTAACACAACATCCAGTCGGCAGTCCATGGATCAAGGAGTAATTTTGACCCAAGTTTTATTATTTAAAAAATATATTTTGTAAAGCTACGGTTGCCCTAAATGGTGAGTTCTCTGATGGATCTGGACAAAGTAAATTGAAAGCATTCTGGAAAGAATTCACCAGTCTCAATGCCATTAAGAACATTTTGATTCATGGGAAGAAGTCAAAATATCAAAAGAAACAAGAGTTTAGAAGTTGATTGCAATCCTCATGGATGATTTTAAGAGGTTCAAGACATCAGTGCAGGAAGTAACTGCAGATGTGGCAGAAAAGGCAAGAGAACTAGAATTACAAGAGTAGCTTGAAGATGTGACTAAATTGCTGCAATCTTGTGATAAAACTTTAACAGATGAGCAGTTGCTTCCTAGGGATGAGCAAAGAAAGAGGTTTCCTCGGATGAAATCTATTCCTAGTGAACATGCTGTAAACATTGTTGAAATCACAACAAAGGATTTAAATATTGCATAAGCTTAGTTGATAAAGCAGTGCCAGAGTTTGAGAGAATGAACTCTAATTTTGAAAGAAGTTCTAATGTGGGTAAAATGCTATCAAACAGCATCAAATGCTACAGAGAAATCTTTCATGAAAGGAAAAGTCAATTGATGTGACAAACTTTATTGTTGTCTTACTTTAAGAAATTGCCAGAGCCACCTCAATAATTGTGTATACAAATTAATGTTACACCTTCAATTGTATGTAATTGGGTAGATATGTAAATTAATGATGTGGATATTTAAGTTAATGTTGGCTATGCAAATTAATGTTTCTCACTAGCCATTATTTATTCTAATATTTACTTTTAATCTTTATTTTCTCTCTTCTGGTACTCCCACTAATTGTATGTATGTAATTGGGTAGATATGTAAATTAATGATGTGGATATATAAGTTAATGTTGGTTATGTAAATTAATGTTTCTCACTAGCCATTATTTATTCTAATATTTACTTTTAATCTTTTATTTTCTCTCCTCTGGTACTCCCACTATACACTGTTGCTACACTTGAAGATGTTCTACATTGACCTGAGGCTTTGTTTTTCTTTATTCTATTTTCTCTCTACTCTTCTGATTATGTCATTTCTGTTGATCTACCTCCCAATTCTCCTATTCTTTCTTCTCTCAGTTTCAATCTATTGTTAAGCCTAACTCATAATTTTCTTATGTCAGTTATTGTAGTTTTCACTCCAGAATTTCCATTTGATTATGTTCCAATCTGAACATATTTGTAATGGCTACTTAGAAGTCTTTGTTAATCTAATAACTGATTCCTCTAACGTGGCAATTTCTGTTGCCTGTATTATTATTATTTTTTCCCTGCAGTGGGTCACTTGTTGATGATTCTTAACATGTCTTTTAATTTGTTGAAAATGGAATATTTTAGGTAACATATTGTAGCAACCCTACATACTAATTTTCCTCTCCCACTCTCTGGGGCTTATTTGTTTTGTTGTTTGCTTGTTTATTTGTTTTGTCACTTAATGGGCTATTTCAGTGAAGTCTATTTCCTTCTCAGTATAAAGACTTTGATGTTCCTTCTTTGACAGTGCAGTGTTGAGGGCTTATATGGCCACTCTGTGATGCCAGTCACTTTAGCATGGCAATCTTTGCATCTTTTCCTCTTATTTTTCTGGTAAGTTGTCTGTTTTCCTTGGTTTTACACGTCTTTGTACTTTACTAATTACTGAGGACTATTTAATTTTTCTTAACAATATCCTGTGTCATAAATAGATCAGTAGTCTTGTCCAACAAGGGCAGTTTTTAAAGGCCAGTCTGACTCCAGAAGGACTCTTCTAAGCTCTCTCTTTCCCTGGTTTTTCTGGTGAAATACTTGGCCTATGGTTTAATGCATTGCTTGTAATTAAAAGGACTTATTGTTTTCAAGAGCGTCCTTAGGCTTGTACTTTTTTATATTGATTAAATAAAATCAGTCCTTTGAAGGAGACCTTCAGAGCTTTCATATTTTATGAATTGCTTTTCACCTGGCAAACTGTCTTAACCACTATTTTGGGATCTGGGCCTGGAGGTAGCCTCTGTTCATCTTAGATTTCCTTTCTCTTCCTCTCCAGGTATGCTATCCCTACCCTATGAGTGACGGAGGATGAAGGAAGTCAAGGCTCCAGTATTCTGGGCCTGCCACATTTGGAGTACAGCCTCTCTCAACTGGGTAAGAGTGGAGAGTGGGAGCTCATGCCTCTTAGCTGCACTTACCAAAAATTTAACTTCTTCAACTTTTGGTTGTAGGGATGTGGGAAATGCTGGTTGCCTCCTCCTTTGGAGATATACAGTAAGACTTGATTGGAGCATGATCAAAAAGCATGGACTGTTTTTGTTGTTGTTGTTGTTGTTTTAATCTCTTCAAACATTCCCATTCTGAGTAAAAATCCCATCAAGCTGAGCTACAGGTGGGGCAGGAAGCAGGGATAGGAATGGAGTGGGTGGTGGCTGGAAAGTCACAGACTCTCACTGTTATTACCGACATTAGATAATTTGCTATGCACTTAGGGCAATTTCCAGAGACTTAAAATGGTTGTTTTTTGTTTGCTTTTTTGTATTTGTTTTTAATAGTTTTTGACAGCTTTGTTCATTTTACTTGCAAACAGATCCATTGAGCTAACACTATTATCCTGAAAGTTAAGCTCAATTTTCCAATATTTAAAAAATTCTCTAATACATGAAGAAAAACAGAACTGAAACAACAGCAGAGTCTATACTAATTACAAAATGATCCAGTAGAGCACCATAAATTTTCAGAGCCTATAAAGGTCTACTTAATAAGAACATTATTGACATGGTCATCCATTAAAACTGCTTTCCCAATGAAATAGAACTACCTCCTACCCTGACTGCACTCTGTTTTGTATTCATTAAATAGCATTTCTGCACATTAAAATATGCATACACTCTTTTTTGAATCCTAGTTTGTTGAAATACTTTATCTATTATTCAAAACTAATTGAATCCTGCTCTACAGAATATCATGAAACATTCTAAGCTTGGCACTTTACATTGAAAACATTGTCATGTAGGTAAATTTTCTTAGTTTTAAAAAAGAAGAACATTACAAATTGAAAAATAATTTGATAGTACAGTCCTGATTTAAAAAAAAACTTAAGCACACTTAAATTTTGAGGAGTTTATCTGAGTATTCAGTGATTCATGAGTTGGGGCAACACCTTGATTGATTAACCAGGGCAAATGGCTAACACTCCATTTAAAGGGGCAAGAGGAAAAACTTTTCTAAAATATTTGCAGAAACAAAACAAAGAAAATAATTTTGATTGGTTTAAGTGAAAAGTTCCTATTTAGAGGTCAGTTGGTGGTTTCTGATTGGTTCGGTTACTAGTTCAATTTACTGTTTACATTGATTTTTAGTTTGTTCATAAAGGAATGAAGTGCCTGAGCTACTCCAATTTAAGAGTCTCCCAATTAGAATTTGTTTTAACAGCTCTGAGAAGGCCTTAGTACATATGTATGAGGTAGTTATCAATTAAGAGAAACTGCCTTGCCCCTGAATTATTTACAAATGAATCAACATTTAAGGTGTAAAAACTGAAATATAAATGTAAGTAAATAAAATGTAAAATAATTTGAGAAATCACCATATATATTAAGAAATGAGGAAGGACTGGCTAAAAATGGTATAGAAACTGGAAATCATAAACTATATATATTTGATTATATAAACAGATCTCACAATTGTTCAGCAAAAACCACTCTATGTATAATTTGAATAAAATCATCTGATTATAAAAGATATATAGATTAATTAGTCAATGGTTTAATGACTCTGATAAATCAAGAACTAGTAGGGATTTGAGGAATTTTCACTTATAAATAAATGGAGATAAAATATGACCTTTATAGAGATATTATTGAATTTGATAAAACTGAAGATAATTTTTAGTCTCCCTTTCAGTGGTGGACCTTAATTAAGATCCATCTGTGAAGACAAAAATGTCTCAGACCAAATGCTTACCTAGCTGCCTACTTGAAGAATTATGGCTTTCTTTACTCCTACTGCAAGCCTATATAATATTCCTGTACTTTACACCACACTAAGCCCCGTATCTTCAAAAATAAGCTTTTTCTTGTGGCTAGAGCCCTATAAATATGTAGCATTTAGGATCTACATACAGATCTCAAGGATGGACTCTTAGATAACTAGCCTCACTTTATAAACAAAACAAAGCAAGTTAGATATATAAGCAAGAAACAAAAGGAGTAAGTCCACATGTACCTGGGAAAAGAAAATCAGAAAAAAAATTATCATCGGTAAAATCTAATTTATTAATAGAGTTAGAGAATAGATTTTTTAAAATATTTGTTTTTAGAGTAGTTTTAGGTTCACACATTAAAAATTGAGCAGAAGCTGCAGAGGTTTTTCATATACTCCCTGCTCTATATTAGGCATAGCTTCCCCCACTGTCAACATCCCACACCAGAGTAGAGATTTACCATAATCAATAAGCCTACATTGAAGCATCACTATCACCTAAAGTTCACAGTTCATATTAAGGCTCACTCTCAGTATTGTACATCCTATGGATTTTAAAAAATGTATAATAAAATGTAGTCACTGTGATAGTATCATATAAAGTAGTTTCACTGCTCTAAAATTTCTCTGTGAACTGCCTATTTATCTATGCTTTCCACTCTACCTCAGAAACCACTGATTCTTTTACTGTTACCATAGTTTTGCCTTCTTCAGAATGTCAGAGTTGGCATCAATAAGTATGTAGCTTTTTCAGATTGACTCCTTTCACTTGGTAACATAAAGTTCCTCCATATCATTTCATGCTTGATAGCTCATTTCTTTTTAGCACTGAATAATATTCCATTGTCTGGTTAAACCACCATTTATTGATTTAGTTAGTTGCTTTAATTTTTTGGCAACTACAAATGAAACTGTTATAAACATCCACATGCAAATATTTGTGTGGACCTAAGTTATCAACTCCTATAAATATTAAAGCAAGTCATTATATGGAATAAGGATGATTACTTTCGTAAGAAACTGCCAAACTGTCTTTCAAAGTGGCTATACGATTTAGCATTTCCCCAGCAATGAATGAGAATTCCTGTTGCTGGACATCCTTGGCAGCATTTGGTGTTGTTAGTGTTCTCAATTTTGCCCATTCTAATAGGTATGTAGCAATATTTTATTGTTGTTTTAATTTCCAGTTCTCTGATAACATATGATGTGGAGCATCATTTCACTTGCTTGTTTGTTATGGGTCTTCTTTGACGAGGTGTTCATCAAGGTCTTTGCCAATTTTCAAATCCTGGGGATTCATCTATTTCTCGTTGCAGTTTTATCAGTTTTTGCCTCACTTATTTGACTCTTTTGGCCACATACATATTAAAGATTTCCATTTTTTCCTAGATATTTGATCCTTTTGTCATTATGCAATGCCCATTGTCCCTGATAATTTTCCTTGGTTTGAAGTCTGCTCACTCTAGAGTTAATATTTCTATGCCATGTGCCTTTATATTTAATGTAAATTTCTTGTGGACAACATATAGTTTGGTCTTTTTATTGATCCACTCTGATCATCTCTGACTTTTAATTGGTGTATTAAGATCACTGACATGTAATGTAGTTATTGATGTAGTTGAATTAATATCTACTATATTTGTTTCTGCTTTTTGGATTCCATTTTCTCCTTTCTTAGTATTCCAGTTACACTTTTTACTAAAACTTCTTAGCACTTGCCCTAGCTTTTGCAATATACATTTACACCTAATCCAAGCCCACTTTCAAATAACACTATCCTGCTTCACAAATGCTGCAAGTAATTGTAATAACAACATAATCCCAATTCTTTCCTTCTAACCTTTGTATCATTGCTGTCATGAATTTCATTTATACATAAGTGTGTACACACATACAAGCATACATAATCAAATATATTGTTGGCATTATTATTTTGAAAAAAAAACAGTTATCTGGTACATTAAGAATAAAAAAATACAAGTTTTATTTTACTGCTATGTATTCTTTCTCCAGTGCTCTTTCTTTGTTTATGTAGATCTGAGTTTCTTACCTACATTATTTTCCTTCTGTATTAGTCTGCTCAGGCTGTCATGACAAAATACCACAGACTCTGTGGCTTAAACAACAGAAATTTATTTTTCCACTGCTCTGGAAGCTGGAAAGTCCAAAATTAAAGCTACAGTAGGGCTTGGTTTCTAGTAAACATTATTTTCCTGGCTTGTAGGGTAGGTTTCTGCTCACAGGGCCTTTCCTCTGAGCACATACAGATAGACATATTGGATCAGTATCCCATATTGGTGAACTTATTTAACCTTAATAACTTCCTGAATACACTGTTTTAGTCTGTTTTCTGTTGCTAATCACAGAATATATTAAACTGGGTAATTTTTTTTTAAAGCAACCCATTTCTTATAATTATGGAGGGTGAGAAGTTCAAAGTGAAGGGGCCGCATCTGGTGACAGTCTTCTTGGTGGTGGGTACTCTGTGCAGAGTCCTGTGGTGACACAGGACATCACATGGCCAGGCAGCTGAACTTGTTAGCTCAGGTCTCTTTTACTCTTCTTATAAAGCCATCAAGTCCCACTCTTGTGATAATCCATTCACTTATTAACTCATTAATCTAAGAACATATTAATTCATTTTATGAGGACAGAGCCTGATGATCCAATTACCTCTTATAGACTCCACCTCTCAATAATGCTACATTGGGGACTAAATTTCAATATAAGTATTGGGAGGGAAACAAATATTCAAACCATAGCAGACCCTATCTCCCAATTAAGTCACATTTAGATAAAGGGCTTTATCTATGAATTTGAGGAGAAACAATTCAACCCATAGCATGCTTCCCATAACCTTACAAAATGCATGTTTTTTGTTTTTTGAGATGGAGTCTCGCTCTGTCGCCTAGGCTGGAGTGCAGTGGCGTGATCTCGGCTCACTGCAAGCTCTGCCTCCCGGGTTCACGCCATTCTCCTGCCTCAGCTTCCCGAGTAGCTGGGATTACAGGCGCCCGCCACCACGCCCGGCTACTTTTTTTTTGTATTTTTAGTAGAGACAGGGTTTCACCATGTTAGCCAGGATGGTCTCGATCTCCTGACCTCATGATCCGCCCGCCTCGGCCTCCCAAAGTGCTGAGATTACAGGTGTGAGCCACCGCACCCGGCCAAAATGCATGTTTTTATTGCATGCAAAATACATCCATTCCATTCCAACATCCTTAAAAGTCTTAATTCATTTCAGCATCAACTCTAGTTTCTGAAGTCGAAATTCTCATCCAAATATCATCTAAATTAGTATGGATGAGGCTCAACTTATGATTCTTCCTGATGCAAAATTTATCTCCAGCTGTGAACCTATGATATGAAACAAGCTATATGCTTCTAAAATACAGGCTAGACATGGTGGCTCATGTCTGCAGTCCCAGCTACTTGGGGAACTGAGGCGGTAGGATCTCTTGTATCTGGCAATGGGAGGTTGAGGCTGCAGTGAGCTGTGATTGTACCACTTCTCTCCAGCCTGGGCAATAGAGCAAGACCCTGACTCAAAAAAATTAACAAACAATCAAAATAATGGCGGGACAGGCATAGGTTGACATTCTGATTCGAAAAGAGAGAAACAGAAAAGAAGGAAGGGGTGACAGGGTCTAAGCAAGTCCAAAGCCCAGTAAAGCAAATTCTATTACATCTTAAGGCCAGAAAATAATGTTCTTTGGTCTAAGGGTCTGCCGTCCAGGCCCACTGCTACAGAAGTGTCACCTCTATGGCCCTATTAAAAGCCTTACCCCCACAAATGTGCCAGTGGGTTCTTCCTACTCCTAAGGCTCCAGTGGAGGCAGTCTTGCCTATTGAAACAGAGGTGATGGCCTCTTTCTTTTAAATTCAGGGGGCAGCCCTAATGATTTCTGAATCACCTTTAGGATTATTCTCCTCTTCTCTTGAATAATGGTGCCCCATTAGAGCCAAATAACTCTATTTTCCTTTTCTGTGTAATATTAGAAGTATATTAAGCCTTTCTTAATTTCATCCCCAAAGCCTTTCTTTACCTTGTCTCATCTTGTCTTTGTATCCTTTGAAACAAACTGGCTATATCTCTGCTGCTATAATTGCATGTCCATTTGTGGCCTCTGCTTAGATGGTTGATTAGATCCGTGGTTCATACCTGTACTAATCTCCTTATCAAATGGTTGCTCAGCCACACCTTTAGCATTATCTTCAGAATATGCTTTATCATATTTTTCTTTGCAGTACAAATAGGCTAAGAATTTTCCAAATCTTCAAGCTCTGGTTCCTTTTTGCTTAACAATTTTTTCAATTTATCTCTATCCTCTTGCATTTTACTATAAGCAGAAAGGAGAAGCAAGGTCACACATTCAACAATCTGCTTAGAAATCCCTGCAGCTAAATGTCCAGTTTAATTGTGCACAGGTTCCACCTTCCACAAAATGCTAGAGCACAATTCAGTCAAGTTATTTGCCACTTTATAACAAGACTAGCCTTTAATCCAGTTTCTAACAATGTGTTCCTCATTATCATTTGAGACCTCGCTAGAATTGCCTTTAACATTTATATTTCTATCAACATTGTTTTTAATGATGTATGTATTCTCTAAGACTATCAAGGCTTTCTGTATAGTTCTCTATTTTCTTCCTGAACTCCCACTAGAATTGCCCTTAATATCCATTTTTTCCACCAATAGTCTTTAGGCTTTGTCTAGCACGCACCTTAAAACCCTTCCAGCTTCTACTCATCAACCAATTCCAAAGCCACTTCCACATCTTAGGGACTTCTTATAGAAGCATCCGATTTCTCAATAACAAATTATGAATTAGTCGGCTTGAGCTGCCATTAAAAAATAATTCAGACGTAAAATTTACTTTCTTACAGTTTTTGAGGCTAAAAAATCCAATGTTATGATTCTGGATGGTTTCAGTTCCTGGTGAATTCTCTCTTTCTAACTTGCGTATGTCTGCTTTGTCCTCATATGATCTTTCCTTTGAGTGAACACTGCAGAGAGAGACTTCTTCTTTAGATTAGAATAGCATTCTTATGACCTCATTTAACCTTAATTATTTACTTTCTAAGGACTCCATCTCCAAACACAGTCACATCAGGAAATAGGACTTCAATATATAAATTCTAGGGTGACACATTTCAGTGCATTGTATCTTTTCTCTGAATATTTTTTTTTTTTTTTTTTTTTTTTTTTTTTTTTTTTTTTTTTTCCGAGACCGCGTCTTGCTCTGTCACCCAGGCTGGAGAGTAGTGACATGATCTTGGCTCACTGCAAGCTCCGCCTCCCGGGTTCATGCCATTCTCCTGCCTCAGCCTCCCCAGTAGCTGGGACTACAGGTGCCCGCCACCACGCCCGGCTAATTTTTGTATTGTTTTTAGTAGAGACGGGATTTCACCGTGTTAGCCAGGATGGTATTGATCTCCTGACATCGTGATCCTCCCGCCTCGGCCTCACAAAGTGCTGGGATTACAGGCGTGAGCCACTGCGCCCGGCCTATCTCTCAAATTTTAAAGGCAGTAGTTCATCCTCTGATCTCCGTTCTCTGATGGCTCTTAGAAGAGTAGTTGGTTTTTCAGTTTTTTGGGAATTTCTCTTATTGTTAGATTGAAGTGAAGACTGCCAAACTCCTTACATAATTTTATATAATTTTAAAATATTTGGTAACTTAAGAAGTCTATTCTGATTAAGTAAACATTTGAATTATTGTGGATGCAATTGACTTCTGAGTTCACCACAGTTAATAAGTGCTCCTTACATGCCAGTCTGAAAACCAAAAGTGTGGATTAGAGTTTATATTTTAATTAGTGCAAATGGCACATTACTGCTAGTGGGGAGTTTTTTATATACTAATAACTGAAAATATGCTTACAGTGCTCAGTATGTGACAAGATTGTTCTAACCACTTTGTATTCCCCAACAATTGTGTAAGGCACTGAGTTAGCAAATGAATGCACAACAGAGAAAAGCATGAAAAAAGAAAATAAAGGTGTAAAAATTTTGTTTCAACAACGTAGATACATGGAAGATGGTGTTTATATTTAAGACAGGAACCAACGATGGGATAATATTTCAAGTATGTTAAAAGTATTTAACTGACAATAGAAAAAAAAGATGAATTTTCAAGCAGGCAATTTGACTATTTATTTAAATATTTAATTTACATTCATATGTTCATGGGATACAATATGATATTTTGATGTATGCCTATTGTGGAATGATTAAATCAGCTAATTAACATATCTATCACCTTATATACTTATTATTTTTGAAATGTAGTCTTAGAAATTCTGAAATATATAAAATATGATTATTAACTGTAGTCACCATGCTGTGCAATAGATCTCAAAAACTTATAACCTTATCCTTTCTGTCCAACTGAATCTTTGTACATTTTGACCAACATTTCTCCAGGCTCTGGTAACCATCATTCTACCTCTGCTTCTATGAGTTTGTCTATTTTAGATTCCACATATAAGTGAGATCAAGCAGTATTGGTCTTTCTGTAGTTTTTCAAAATTATTAGAATGATTAAAAAGTTGATTTTAACAAGACCAATTTGAAGACATATAACTAAAACTGTTAATGTTATATACAAGAAAGAAATGCCAAGTGACAGAATTTTCTTTGTTTTTGAGACTAGATAGTATTCCATTGTGTATATACACCACATTTTCTTTTATTTTCGTAAAAGGTCTGACATTGGCAACTAAGGTAAAAGAGTCTCCATACCTCATGTTTCTAGTAGTGTCTATATGATTCAAACATGAATGAACAGAGAGTAGAACACAGTGTTACCACTACTACTTCTCTACACATCCAATGAGTCTCACTACTACTACTAATAGTAATAACAAACAATATTTATAAATATTTTCTGTACTCCAGTCATTGTTCCAGGACTTTATCCACACTAGCTTATTTTATTCCACAAACCCTTGGAGCAATTATATCTATATTTTATATGCTGAAGGATATGTAGAGGGTATAAAACCTGCCCAAAGTTTCTCAGGAGATAAGCAGACAATAAGGAAGTGGCCAAGCAGAATTGCTTTTATGGGGCAAGTTTTCCGCCCCTGACTCTAGTCTCCAAGGATGAGAAAATGCTAGTTTGGTTGGTAACAGTGTCCATAGCATCTAACAAAGTGATGGGTACTTATCCCATGTTCAGTATATACTGAATTAAAGATAATAAACTCTGTATCACACATGCTTACACCTAAATCTTTATGTCAATTTTTAATTATTTTTTGAAATAAACCTATATAGAAAAAAAATTGAGGTTACTGATAGTAGCACAAATCTCTTTGTGTTACTGTCAGTGTATCAGAATATAGAACCAATTTACACTGTCATTAGAAATGTTTAAGAGTCTTTTTCCCTACTTAAAGAACCTCTGTGGGTCTAACATATATATATATATATATATATAGTTTTACCATTCTGAAAGACAGTGTATAATTTAATATTTATTATTAAATATTTTATTTAAAATGAAGATATTTCAATTTTTAAAATTTCTATTGGCCATATTAATTTTTCTGTGAAATGTCTGCTCATGTTCTTTTAATTTTATGGAAATTATTCATATGATTAAATAAGTTAATCCAATATTTTTACAGCAGTTGTGATTTGCCATTTCTTTCTTGTATATACCATTAACATTTTTTGTTACATGTCTCAATTTAAATCAGTCTTGTAAAAACCAGCTTTTTTTCTCATGCTAGTAATTGTGAAAAAGGCTAAAATGCTTGTACATATTTTATCAAACTCACTGGTTTTCTTCTGGCCTATATAAATTAAAAGAATTCTAGATTTTTATTAGAAATAATTAGAAGAAACCCAGGAAAGCATTGTTATAATATAAAGAAACTGAAAGCTTATAAAAAGAAGAACATCACAATCATTTTAAACCATAGAAAGATAAAGCTTTGATAGCAGTAAACAAACAACAAAGAAAGAAAGATTCACAGCACTGGGGAACAAGGGAACAAGATAAACTGAGATCTCCTAACATAGTGTTTCAATATTCTTGCCATTAATAGTGGTTTTCTCACAGAGAAATTTTGAACAAAATGCCTTAACTACATTTCTCTGCCAATAAAATTGACAAGATAGTTGCAGAAAAGCTTTCAAATCCATTGCAAAAGCAATTTATATTCAGTTTACCTTCATGTATAGTTAAAGAATAACACTGGGATTTCGCTTCTTCTAAGTAGTCTAAGAATATATTTCACTACCATTGATTTAGTCAGTACAGTAAAAGTATGCTTTTTATGATTTTTTTCTCAAGTGTAGTACATGCTTTACATTATAGCAGAAATGAAAAAAAATTATGCCTCTTCTACAGATTTTTTGGCATATGTGAATATCTTAAATAAAATAAGATCTCAATCTAATGTTATATGATTAACTCACAAATTAACTCTAATTTGTATGAACTGTTAAAATTTACAAACTCAGAATTTAAGCTAGAACAACAGAAATCCAGGATCTCCTACAGCTATAAATAAAATGTGTGTGTGTGTGTGTGTGTGTGTGTGTGTGTGTGTGTGATTATTTAGAGTTTTTAGGACAAGTTTAAAAAATTGTACCTACGTTTGTGTTAATTTACATTCCAGAAAATAGTAAAGGATGTCTTCTTGCAATGGCTCCCACCTCGCACTGAAGAATGAGATGAAAGCCATACCTGACAGGTAACAGGTGCTCATAGAGACTTTAATCCTATTAGCAGAAAATTGTTTGTGTTGACTGCTCTCTACCAGCAGCTAATTAAACTAATAGAACAGGCTGCGAGTGGGGGCAGTGCAAAGTAATGAATGACTTAAATGTGGAGAATCTATTTTGTATAAAAACAGAATCTACATCACATTTCCCCTGTGATTTATAGTAATTTATAAATAACATTAATAACGAAAAATATTATAATGCATACTAATTCATACATTAAACATTAAATTTTAATAGCCAATATACATATTTATAGCTTCATCAATCAGGAGTCTTGAGAAAAACAGAGATTATAATATATGAGTATATATTAATTTATTTTAAAATATATTATTTTATGGAATTAGTTCACCTGATTACATGTACTGGCAAGTCAGATATTTGGAAGGGCCCTGACCAGGCAAGAGTTGATTTAGTCTTGAGTCTGAAATTTGGAAAGTGGGAAGGCAGGCTAGAAAGTCAGGCAAGATTTCTATGTTACAGTAGAAGCCAAATTCACTTAACTTAATTCACCAAAGTCACTTAATTATTTGAAAAATTTGAAGACAGCAAATCAAGAAAGAGGAGCTAATGAAAACTATAATAATCAATATAACTGAAAAGAATCTATAAATGATATGGCTTTTTCCCATGTAAAGTATGTTTAAAATCAAAATAATCTACGAAATATTTATATTATTATGCTTTTGAAATTAAAATAAACCTTCACACACTAGCTCATGTGTGCAAAGTAAGAAAGCATAAAAATGGATTTAATCCATTATAAAGTTAGAGAAAATAATATATTCTTTCTTTGGACAAATGGATTACCAAATAATCAGTATTAGCTTTATTGTATTATATATTGTATAGTTTTCATTGTCCTAACAATTTCCATGCAAAATTCTCAGATGAACTAATTTTATTTAAAAAGTCTTCAAATAATTCCCAACAAAAACCACATTTTAAATAGAATCAATTAAGAGAAAACAATATTTTACATAATTCAGAGGTCATCTTGTGCACCTCTCTGTGGGAAAACTGTCTGCACTGAAAAAAAATGATGCTTTCAACATTAACAACAGATTTCACGTAGGCAAAAATAATTTGAATCTATTTATGAGAAAAATCTTCAAAAATTTCACAGATTGGATCTATTAAATACCTATAGCCATGATAGTGTTTATGAATATTTTTCTTGTTGGAAAGAATCTCCATTTTTTTCTGCTACATCTTCATCAAACCAGCACTACACCATTCATTTTGCTGTTTCTATTGTTGGTCAGAAACAGTTGCAATAGATACTGAGATTACTTAAGGGACAGAAAGGCATTTCAAGTGGCATTAAAACTTGATTATCTTTCAAAAGAACGTAAAACTATGCTTTATGAATAATTTAAATGTGATTTCAGTTTTAAGTTAGATGTTATTACTATAATATTTTCATGAGTGACCAGAAAAATAACATCAAAATAAATTAAAACCAGGTAAACATAAACCACACTACATTTAGAAACAAACACTTGGGGTTTATGTTTTCGCTGTTATCGTAGTTGTTATTGTTTTGTTAGCTTGTACTAGATTTCTGTTGAAATGAAAATTATAATGAATATACCTTTTACATTTTTCCTTGGTGTTATGATGTCAAACATGTTATATTTTTCTTGACAATTCAAAATTTGCTCCAAAAAAAGATGGTGGTTACTATAATATGTGTGCTCTTAAATTTGTCTTGGTATAACAAGATAAAACACACAAAATAAACTAGGCAAAGGCCTTTTTATTCACTCAAACACTTTTTTATACTTTTTACTTGCTAGGTATTTAATACATATGTGAACACTACTTCAATTATAAATTATGACACATCTCTCTTTGTAGCTCTACATAAATAGTTACATTCATTTCTTTGATTTCATAAAAAACAAAGATTCATATATTGACACAGCACATTTTTTCCAGAAAAACTTCTATTATCATTGATGTAGCTTGGCTTCTTGAAACCAAGTATAATTTGAATTCATATTAAAACTGCAGCTTATATTCCATTTGAATCTAATTATGTTGAAACAAATTAACAATTCTCAGAAAGCAATAAAATAAACACTGAGTTAATATTGAAGAGTGTTTTTAAAAACTTGATTTTTTGGCCCAACAATATAATCCATTTTTGAATTATGAACAGCATTGCACTAAGTTACATTGAAGAGAATTGAAGAACAAAACTTCTAGTGAATCACCTGAGCTTAGTTGTATATTTATACTTTCATTCTTCACTTTGCATTATTCAGAGGTCAGTATAGGATTGATGCAGGGCAGGCAAGCACCCAAATTGAGGCCTAGCCCAGGAGGCTTCTTGTCTTCACCTAGGAAAACATTCAAGGGCGAGCTGGTGTACAGCAGCAGTACAATTTCATGAAGAACATGGCTACCCTGCAGGTAGTGTGCTCAGAGGAGCAACTCTGAGGCAGTTCTGCACTCATTTTTATATCCACTTTTAATTATATGCAAATTAAGGGACAGTTTATGCATAAATTTCTAGAAGGAGGGTGTTAACTTCCAGGTTGTCCAGTTATTGCCATGGAAGAAGCAGTAACTTCTGGGTGTTGCCATGGCAATGGTAAATTGACATAGCACACTGATGGGAGTGTCTTATGGGGAGATGATTCTGCCTTAGACCGTTTTTGACTACTCCTCAATTTGGTCCAGCATCCAAGCCCCACCTCCAGATTAGTGTTCTGCTTCCTACCTCAGGATCATGCAAACTACTTTAAATTATGATACACACACTCCTGAGAAATAGACAAATTTCAGGGTGGTACAAAGGCACAGAGTTTCATAGAAATAACTTTCCAGGTCTTTTGACTTCCATATAGACTTTTCCTAAAACTGACTTTCCTGAGGCTGTCTGTAACTGTTGACAAGGTTCACTGAGCATCTCCTTCCCATTCTATGCCTTCTCAACTATTCCAACTTCAGAAAAAAAGAAAGAAAGAAAGAAAGAAAAAGGCATGTCTCTCATTTGGAATTTTTTATGGTATAGATTCCTGGGGTGTGCATGTACTAAACTGCTAAATAATTTAAAACATACATAATTGTGGAATATCCCTTAATCTCTCTCTTTCATAGATACCACTATTAAGGGCAATGAAATGGCATATTTTTTTCCTATATGCAGATATGTTGTAAAGCATGGTGAAAGTCAAAACAGCTTTTATTTAATAACCTCATCTCTTCTATCCCCTGATGATTACACCTTTCAGGTGTCATCACAGTCCCAAGAGAGAATGCAAAGAGAACAGAAAGAAATACTGATGGCACCAGCACTTTACTACATTCAGGTAACAACCCATGGCAAGGTCCTAGCCTCGCCTTTCTATCAGAATTAGAAATCAGAAAACAGAATTACCACATAAGCACGCATTAGCATGTTTTTCTAAATTGAAAAATGAAGTGTGACTTTCTAGATAGAAACTCATTCTGATTTGGTTGATTTGTTTGACTGAATTCTTCACAATTAAGATTGTATTAGCTAAATGTCACCTCTAAACATTTGAAGAAAACATATTTAAATATATTGACAAAGGTGTCTTTACATTTAAATATTTTAATTTACCCAAACTTGGATTGTCACAATGCTTCAATGATAGAATAAAATTTTCTTAATTAAGTGGACATATATAAATGGACTTTTTGAGATGTAGTCACATGTACTTTTAAAACATAAAATTAATAAGATGAATGTCACTTCTACTGTCTTGATTTTTATCTGTATAGTATAGCTTTTGAACTGATACATCATGACAGTCCAATTCAGGGATCATCTTTATGAGCACAAGTGTGCATATAGTACTGACCTTAACTCTAAGACTTTAAGGCCAAAATACTGTCTTAAATATCACAGTAAATTAAAATATAATAATAAATATATCTCATTGAATGCATAAGTATTATTTTTATAGAAATTATTTCTATGATTCTATTTATCCTTATAATACTTCAGTGAAAATTAAAAGGCAGTGTATCATTGTTTTCTAAGAACAACTTTTATTTGTAGATAGTCCTTGTTAAAATGATCACCATGACTGCATTTTTCCTGAAATAAAATAAAATATAAAAAGGCTTCATTTGGTCAAGGTTTTAAAGAAATATTTGAGAGGTAGAAAAAAAAACATTCAATACTTAAAAATGTCTAAAATTATAAAATCATCTCATTTATAAGTAATCTTTATATATATTAGCTCATTTTATTCTTTAAATTCTAAATTAGTCTATTATTATCCTCATTTTATAAAGTGAACCTTAATTTTCACAGCAAAAATTTTCTCCTCCTGCCTGCAAACCCTATCCACACCATTACTATCGAATTTTACCTCACCTTTGGAGGAGTATTTTTACTAATTGAATTATATGTGTATGTATTCCAGAGTCATGTAAGCACATATTCTTTATTTCATAGGACAGACATTTTGGAGGAAGAGTTTTTCTGAAAGACCCTGTGTCTAGAATGTGATGAGATCAAACAATAAATTTGGCCTCAATATAACTAAATGAGACATGGGTACGGCCTGGAATTCTTTTTTTTTTTTTTTTCCTTTGAGATGGAGTCTTGCTCTGTCGCCCAGGCTGGAGGGCAGTAGTGCAATCTCGGCTCAGTGCAACCTCCACCTCCTGGGTTCAAGAGATCGATTCTCCTGCCTCAGCCTCCCAAGTAGCTGGGACTACAGGCACCCGCTACCATGCCCGGCTAATTTTTGTATTTTTAGTAGAGATGGGGTTTCACCATATTGGCCAGGCTAGTCTTGAACTCCTAACCTTGTGATCCACCCGCCTCAGCCTCCCAAAGTGATGGGATTACAGGCATAAGCCACCGCACCGGGCCCAGCCTGGCATTCTTATTAAACACAGTTATCATTGCATCTCTGATTTGTGTGGTCCCCCCTCCTCTCCCATATTAAAAACCCAAGAGAACAACAGAAAGCAGGGGTTAAGAGTGTAGCATTGTGAAATCATACTCTGCCTAGATATTAACCTTGGCCATTATTTATATGGCCTTGAGTATATTTTCATGTATTCTAAGCTTCAGTCTCTTTGCTGGTGTTTGTAATAATATTTACCTCATGGTATTGTTTTGTGAGTTAAATGAGGTAATCCATCGAAAGCATTTAGTTCAGTGTCTGGTATATGATAAACGCACCCCAAATGCTAGCTATTGACTGATACATTTTAGATTTGTTTTCCCTATTGATCTCATTTTTGGTATACTTTGTTATTAATTAGCATTTTGTTTCAAATAATTAACATATTATTTTACTTGGTTCTTATAGCAAAATGCAAACCTTTCTTAAGGGAGGTGGTTGAAACTTTTGGCTTATTTTGGATATTCTCTGTGACTTTTATTAGTGTGATTTCTACAGCCAATTATCATGGCTAATCAAGAAATTGCTGACTCAACAATATTGTTAAATCATCACTATATTTAAATTAGTGTATAGACTAAAAACTAGAAATGTGACAACTGAAAATTCTTTCTTTAATCTTCTACTTAGAAACTGCACACAGATCACAGCTGCTGTTTATCAAGTCAGCCATCACACCTGTCTACACATTTCTTAAATCTCTTTTGTAGACTGATGTTTGCTATAAATGCAGTCATCTCTCATTATAAAGCTTTTCAGTTAATGTTTTATGTTTTACAAACCCTACAGTATATGCTGCATGGCTCATTTGGCAAGAGTTATATTTTGCATTCTTAAGATGATGCTTTGCAGATTATTTTTGGAGAAAAATAAATGTACTCCATGATATAATATACTGTTGAAATTTTATAGTGTGGTTTTGTAGAAAACAGGTACACATAGGTCTGCCCAACACTGAATCTGATTATCTGCCTTTTAAGATCCAAGTTTGAATTTGTAAATAAAATGATTCATTTTCAATAAAGTCATTGGGAATATAGCCTACATATTGAAGTCCTTACTTATTGCTTTAGTGGTTACTTATCAAAGAAGAACATAACACTCCTTTCGTTACCAATAATTTTAAATTTAAAGAGCAGTTAAATAGTCTTACAAAATATCCATATGATAATTCATTATTTTTTCAAAGATTTTTAATTTAATAATCATGCAGGCATATTACATACTGTTTACTAAGATTATAAACCCTCTCTCAGATTATCTGTTTAATCACAATCTAATAGTGCCTTATGAATAAAGCTTTTTGATAAAAAAATTATTTTCAAAAAAATTTACACCCATTAGACAATATTCAATTTATATTTTCCTTATATTCTTACTCCCTTTTTCATCCATAAAGATACTTAAAGCACTGATTATGTTAACTCTGCTTATACATTATAGATGACTTTTAATTAAATTAATTTTCAACTTACAAATGAGTGCTTATTTTAGCAAAATTATTCTTATGACATTTCTTTTAAATTAATTCTTTCTTTTGGCTTTTTTTTTAAGCCATTTCTTTTCCCTAATCTGGCTCATTTTTATCCTTTTATCATGGTCTAGATTATATCAGAACAGGTTTTGTTGTTTGTTCAGAATAGGTTGCCTCTAAATCTTCAAATTACACATGTGCAAATACACATAAACATATAATAAATAAATGGAATGTTCTCCAAGGTAAATTATATAAATAACTCTGTCCTAGAAAATTATTTGCCTTGAAATCCCTGAGTGAAAACAAACACATGAATGGAAAGATGGTGTGAGACTATGGTAAAGACCCAGGAGGTCATGAGTGCTGAGATATGAACTTTGTTCCACAGCCTATTAAAATTAGGTAAATAGGAGAGCCTTTGTTTCCTTACCTTTAAAAAAGATGAATAAAAATATAAAAATATGAGAATTACACGTCTACTAACTGGATAATTTGATTTAAAACTATATCTGCTATATACAAAATATTTTCTAGTCCATTAAATTTTAATAGCTATCTAAAATAAAATATTATACATTTGACATCTAGATTATGATTATGAAAATTATAAACCCCCAAATCACTCACTAGTGACCATGTGAATTTTTTTAACTACATTTTTTGGTCAAAAAAAAACTTCCTGCTGGGCTACATGACAGGTTTCATGGCTATGTCACATTCTTTGTAATTTTAGAGATACTGAAAATTGAGACATATCTGCCTTCTATTCCATTCACATCCTTAGCTACCCTGTTCTCCCATATCTTCTGTAACAGTTTTGCCTCGTTATATAATAAAATAAATTCTTTCTATCCAGTAATACTATAAGTAGATTCACTGTAAAGTTAATTTTTCAAACCTAGAAATTTTGAGAGGGAAATGAGAAGCTAAAAATAATTTAAGTTACATAATTTCTATAATCTTTATTTACTCTGCAAAAGTGGTTTTATTATTTTGGCAAACATATGGAATTGTTCTACTAAAAACCACTTCCAGAATTAAAATGCTTTCTAAAATAAAAAAAATTAAAAATACTATGAACAAAACAAGACAGAGCTTTCTAATTTAACTGAACACTTTAAAAATAAGAATAATTACTCAGTACATATTCACACGTTAAAATGAAATTCTTATATTGTGTTTTTTTCTGACATTTTGCCACTGCTGTGTATTTGAAGAATGCCTTTATATAGTCTATGTTTACTATTTTAAGGAAATAGCCTGAAATAGACTTAAACATTGTAATTTTTGTTAATTTCAAAATATTGAAACCTCTATTGACTTTTCTATTTTAATATTATTTAAAACAACAAAATATTTTTAATTGGCATTATGCTCTGTCTACACATGCTGAAATACCAAGTAAATTCATAGTAATTCTGCAGAGTGGAGAATAATCTAACTTTTATTATTTTTAACATAAAAATGTGAAAAATTTATATTTCGATATTTTAGCAAATACTTGCTTCTTCTTTTAAAAATATTTTAGAGGACAAACTCAACAAGTAATTTGTTTCTATGATTTCTTTGAATCATTCACCAAATCAAGGTGCTGCAAAATCATAAGCATATTGAATGTCAATAAATTCTGGAGCTAATTATAAATTAATTTAGTTCTAAATCGGGGTTCCATAACATTTTCTTTCCACAAGTCTAAATATTTCAAAATGTAGTTATATAATTTCAAAATAGAAACTTTTATACTTTTTCAGCTCTCATGGTTTAATTCATTCAGTTTACTCTCTTGTTTTTTTTTTTTAGCAATATGTTTCAACGTATTTCTGTTTTCAGTTTTTAAAAAATACTGCAATTTGATAAAAACTTCAGATGTTAACATTTTAGTGCTCATTTGATTGAATTTTATAGAGATTTTTCAACTACCTTTGAAAAATGAAATACTTATTTAGTTAAAATTGTAACGCAATTTTATGATGCATTTGTTGATATCTGATTTAGTTCTTCAATATCTCAGGCATTCACAGTATTCAACTGATAAGGCTAACAGATAAATAAATAACATGCTGTAATGTTAACATTTCTTTTTGCTCCTAATATCACCTTCATTTAAAAAATGACAGTTAAATTAATCTGTGTGACATAAACATAATTTTACAATATTTGGTTACTTTAAAAGTCAATTTTGATTAAGTAAAAATTTCAATGATTTTTGATGCAATTGACTTCTAAGTTCACCAAAGTTAATACGTGCTTCTTTAGTCTGTAAGTTCCTTCTTTAGAAACAACATATTTTATAATCATATAATGTACTTTATCAATTTTTGTAATGTTACAACCAAAAAACTCCAAATACATTATGTTTAATGTAAAGCCTTTTAACACTATTTCCAACAGCAATAATATCATATATTTCACGTGGGACAAAAGTACATGTCAAGGGCTTTTTCCTGAGTCCATAAGTTGGATGAAAAATTTAAACTGTTATTGGAATTAACTGATTTTTTACCTGAATTATTTGAAGAAATCGATATAAAATTTGTGTTATTTAACTATTTGCTAAGTTCTGTTGAAGGAGCCAACAATTAGAATATAGAAAGCTGTAAAGAGCAGCACTTCATTTAACAAAAAGAATAAACAAGATCTACAAAATCATAACTCTCTTTGAGGCCAACAGAGAGTTGATTTGCAAGGCAAGTTGTTATTCTGAAATCTAAAAAAGGAAGGCTTTCCAAGAAGAATAAGGTTGCAAGCACCGGCTCCCATTTGCCAGAACCACCATGCAAGTGATTAAGAAGCAATAAGTGAAATTTTTAACAAATTGCTAAAGTTTGGGTATTGGTTAGCTTTAGAGTACAGAAACCCACAAATACCAGGGGATGGATGAATCAGCTCAACACTCTTCATACATCTTCGCTGGGACCCAGGAGAAAGACTAAGAACAAGGCAGGAGATGATAAAATTTTCCCAGCTAGAGCAGGCAAGGAAGGAGAGAGCAGTTGCCATTGTGGAAAAAAGCAGAAACTTTGATGGTGATTCTTCTCCCCTACAGAACTAAGGTGTTGTCAGACCCAGTGTCAAGTTCCAGCCCATGCTATGGTCCAAGGAGAGTGGGTGAATTGTCAGTGAGGATTTGAAAGAACACACAGGGGCTGTAGCAGCTCTCTTCATCAGCAGCTCTCTCATCAGCAGCTCTCTCATCAGCAGCTCTCTCACACTGTTCTCCTCTGTCTCAGCAGCCTGCTCTGGCTCTAACTCTGTGGCTCCTGCCGCTCCCACCTCCCAGACACAGCTGTATGACTGGCCTACAAGGCTAACTCTCCCTTAGAGAATTAGCAGCTTAACTCTTTCCCTCTGGGCACAAACCAGTTCCTGGTGCCCCTCTGCCTGCCTTCAAGGCGACAGGCTCTCCATTGTAGGGGTCAATAGCATTATTCTCTCTCTCTCTGTCTCTCTCTCTTCCTGGGCATGAGACCACAAGCCTGTACAGTGTCAGCAGGGCAGTTATACCCTTTTCAAACAATAGTGGCTTGGAGCTAAGTATGAGCTTACACAAACAGGTTATATAACAATGAGAGTATGTACCTGGGCCCTAAACCTGCTGAGTCACTCTGGCCCAGATGTCCACCTCAGCCTATTCCTTGACCAAAGCACATCCGTGTACCTTACAGGTGTTAAGTTTCTATTTATTTATTCATGAGACAGAGTCTCACTCTGTCACCCAGGCTGGAGTGCAGTGGCAATGATCTCGGCTGACTGCAACCTCCACCTCCCAGATTTAAGCCATTCTTGTGCCTCAGCCTCCCAAGTATCTGGGACTACAGATGCATGCCACCACGCCCAGCTAATTTTTTATTTTTATTTATTTTTTTTGAGACCGAGTCTCACTGTTGTTGCCTGGGCTGGGAGTGCAATGGCACGATCTTGGCTCACTGCAACCTCCACCTCCCTGGTTCCAGCAATCCTCCTGCCTCAGCTTCCTGAGTAGCTGAGATTACAGGCGCCCGCCAGCACACCCAGCTAATTTTTGTATTTTTAGTAGAGACAGAGTTTCCCCTTGTTGACCAGGCTGGTCTCAAACTTCTGCCCTCAAGTGATCCTCCAGCAATGGCTTCCCAAAGTGCTGGGATTACAGGCATCTAAGGCATTAAGTTTCTGAGGAAAGTTAACAAACTCTGTTGCTTCCAGGACACAAGTGAAGACTGGTTGCTGCAGAGGAAAGGAAAGGGGAAAAAAGCCTAAGAGGAAATACAAAAAAAGTCCTGAGTCCCGATCATAAGTGATACCCAACAACTAGGGAGGTAAAAATCCACTGAGAGAGTCTAAAGGTAACAGGCATGTATCTTGACTGTCTTTGTTCAAGACAGTCAAGAACTCCTGGACTGGCCTGGTAGCTCATGCCTGTAATCCCAGCACTTTGGGAGGCCTGGGTGGGCTAATCACTTTAGCCCAGCTGTTCAAGACCATACTGAGCAACATCATGAAACTCTGTCTCTAACAAAAACAGAAAAATTAGCTAGCAGGGTGGTATGCGCCTGTAGTTCCAGCTACTCGGGAGGCTGAGGTGGGAGGATGGCTTGATCCCAGGAAGTCAAGACTGCAGTGAGCTATGATCGACCCACTGCACTCCAGCCTGGGTGACAAGTGAGACCCTGTCTCAAAAACAAACATGCAAACTAACTAGCTAACTAAATGTGCTGCACCCACCAACAGGCTAGCCAGCAAGTGCAAGCAAGAACATTTTACTAAGGAAGTGACAAGAGTATGAAAAAGACACTCTCTGAGGCACTAACTTTCATGAAAAAACTTAAAGCTAAGAGTAGAGTAGAAACATTGAGAAAAAGAAACTAGCAAACCAGCCCCTACCCTAAAGCTGAAACACACAATATTAATGAAATGTGAATTTTCTACAAAATTATCTTCTTGAAGTAACCAGAGGAGAAAATATCTGTACTCTTGATTTAGGCAACGTTTTCTTAGATATGACACCAAAAGCAAAATCAACAAAATAAATCATTAATAAATAGTCATCATCCACAAACTTTTAAATGCCTTTTCATTCCCTATGGTGTGAATGAATACACCACATGTAAGTCAATATATTTGCAAATTACATGTTTAATAAAGAACTTGTATTGAGAATATGAAAGGAACTCTCACAACTCAATATAAAAAGGAAAACCCAAACAAAAAAATCCAATGCAAAGTGGAGAAAATATTTAAACAGAAACTACATTGATAGCTGATATATGGATGACAAATCAACATGTGAAAATATGATATACAGGTGACAGATGACTACATGATTCATTCTACTTCTAGCATTTGCCAAAGAAAAAAGAAAACATATGTACACACACACACACAAGAATTTAAGGCAACACCAATGTCATAAAAATATTGACTACCCTCTGTATGTTGGATAGCAGGACTATTCAGGCTCTATTTCACACAAGCATTTTTGCATCTATTCTAACATTTTGTGGTGTTGCACAAAAATTTTTGCATCATATTTGCATCTAATGATTTCTCATCTTTCTTACTGGTCACCTGTCTTGTGTCTTAATTTATCCATCAGGTTATGGCATGAATCATATCACAAATATCTGGTATACTACTTGACCATTAGGGGCAAAAACCTCCGATTGTCTCAAAGCTACCCATGACCAAATGGAGTTGTCTGTCCCTGGCCCTGAATATTCAAGTATACATTATTTTATCTGTGTGCATTATGCATGCTGTCCTTGAAAGAGGGACTTTAGATATATTATGTTTTTAAAACGTCAGGAAAAGAGGGATGAGTTACTGTTGGTGTCTTACTGACTGAGCCGTGTTGTAAACTGATAACTCTATTCACTGCACACGTTTCATACCACCCTAACTCAGAACATGGCCAAATTTAAAGCACAAAGTGGAGTTTGATGAATCTATTGCAGCTTATTTTGATTAACTATTAATAAAAATACTTTGTTAAAAATGGAAATTCAAGGACAAATAATAAGCCAAGGAAATGAGGAAGATATCTAACACTATTACATCTAATGAGCTATTTGAATACTTTTTCAGTTTTCCATCTCCACTGTTTTGGACCTTGCTTGTTTGGAGGACTTGGCCCCCAAGGGAGAGACAATCACACTGGGTATACAACAATGGTTACATTAAAGGAGCTGTTGATATGGTCATGTAGCCATTTAGACACCACATGATCATAATGAAACAGGCAAAAAGGGGGTTTGCTTGTAAAATTAATCATGATTATCAAGGGATTAGAACGGTATAATTGCTAACATGGAAATGGAAATATAGCCCTGGAACTCAATCCTGAAACTGACCACAATTACTTCAGTTATCAATGTCCCCTGATAGATGTTAATAGAGAATAACGGTAATGCAATGCATGCAGGACCACCAAATACTGAAAAAGAAAAGATTTGTCTTGCTCCAAGGGTTGAATAATAAGCTTAAAATGCTGGCTGAGGGGGAAGTAACATGCAGATGAAGGAAAGAAACGAAGACTGACATAAGTATCAACAATTTCTTCCTTGCTTTTTTATGTATATATTTATATTGACTAAGATTTTCAATTATTTGATCTAACCAGCCCCACTAAGATATTTTTCAATCATATTTGCTGGTGTTGTTAAAATTAGAATTTACTGGTGAGATTATAGATTATCTAAACAAGATTATGACTGAACCATAAGAAAAATCACTTAAAGGGATACAATGACTTATACAACATCTGAGGCCCTGTTTTCATTTATAGATGCTATAACAACATGGTATTGATGTGCTTATTTTTGTTACTGTTTTCATCAAGAAGCTTAAATATGGAGGGAAGGCATATATATGGAAACTGAATAAATAAAGTTAGTCCCAGAGAGATGACATATGGGCTCATTGATACTGATATTACAGCCCTCTTAGAACACCTTCCAATAATTTAGAAGATGAAGTGTTTATAAGCAACATTTTCCCATAGCTCCTTATAGCTAGAATTTCAGACATTATTCATACTCTTCCAGTCAGATACATTTTCAAAATTGATTTCATATTAACATAAATTGAAAAGAGGTAGAGAAAAAGCAACATTTTTATGGCAGGTGTATTAGTTCATTCTAACACTACTAAAAAGGCATACCTGAGACTGGGTTATTTATAAAGAAAAGAGATTTAATGTGCTCATGGTTCTGTGGGCTGTATAGGCTTTGGCTTCTGGGGAGGCCTCAGGAATCTTAAAATCACGACAGAAGGTGAAAGGGAAGATGGTAAATCTTCACATGGCCTGCAGGAAAGAGAGAGAGGAAAGTGGGAGGTGCTACATATTTTCAAACAATCAGATCTGAGAGCTCTCATCACAACAGCAAGGGGAAGTCCTCTCCCATGATTCAATCACCTCACCCTCTCCTCCAACAACACTGGGAATTACCACAGTACATGAGATTTTGGTAGGGATGCAGAGCGAAACCATATTAGCAGGGATCCTTTACCAGATTGATGACCTTCTACCTGTTGCTGTTACTGATATTACTGCCTCCTGACTACAGCAGTGGTTTGCTGTATAGCTTGAGGAGTTTTTATTTCTGTAATTCTAAAATTACAAATTTACTTGAACAGTAAAGATCTATTTGTCTCAGTAATTAATTATGGACTTCTGCAATTTCAGTTGCTTTCAAAATTCTGCACAATAACTCCTTGTTAAAACTGAAGGAGGCTAATATATCGTCAGTGTCAAAAGCCATAAATAAATGTACTTATCATAGCCTAAAGGCAATTCTACTGACATGAGTAGAAGCATTAGACAAGCTCCCATGAGAATAAATTCATGTCTTCTTATGTGAAGTATGTGAAAAATTGCAATTGCTCTAAGCTTCAGGAATACTTAGAAATAAAGGATACCATGAGACATTAAAGATAGTAATAAAATCAATTTTGTTAACTTCAAATTCATAAACTACTTCAAAATTGAAAGCAACAATGTAAATAATTTCTACAGATATGTTCTGTCAAGATACTGTAGATTTTCTTTAGTTATTTATTTATTTGTGCAGGTAGTAGTAAAATAATAAAAACTTTTAGAACAATATTTAACACACAAACACACAGATTCTTTGTTAGATAGTACAAAAGGACCTCTACATTGTTTCATTATGTAGTATTTTTGAAAACATTCTTGGTAGTTGCTGTGTTTTAACTGAGTCTCGGTTAATTGTTAAGTGATTTCCTAATATGAGTTTTTGGTGGTGTCTCATGGAATTCCTAGTTTGTTACAGCAACGCTGCTTGGAATATTATCTCACTTCATCCCTCATACCATTTCAGGTTAACTCCTACTTTCCTTTCAAACCTTTACTCATGTAGCCACCTCCAAAAAAAAATCTCTTCATTTCTTGAAGAGAATTTTGAGTTGGTGCACAATTTACAAACTCCTGGAGTACCCTATTTGTATATTCTGTATATAGCAGTCTCCCATTATCTAAAGTTTTGCTTTTGTAATTTCAGTAACCTGCAGTCAACTGCAGTTAAAATATATTAAATAAAAAATTCCAGAAATAAACAATTTATAAGTTTTAAATTGCATGTCATTCTGAGTACAATTGTTGTATTTTGTTATTAGTTATTGTTAATGTTTTATTGCACCAAATTTATAAAATAAACTTTATCATATGTATGTATATAGATAAAAATCTTCCTGGACTACATTGAGTTTAGTGCTGTCTGTGGCTTCAGGCATCCACTGGGGTGTTAGAATATATCACTTGTGGATAAGGGTGGACTTCTGTGCATCTGAACACTGACTGGATTACTCTCGTAAGTTTCAACTTTCATCAGTTCCAAAATGCCAATTTCCTCTTTCCACGTTCATTTTTCATCTTTACGTTCTTCCTTCTACCTCCTCTAATCAAATTCTTAGGTCACTGAGGTTTATATTGTGAGCATGCTAAACTGATTAAAGCAACGTAAACTATGATACGACGTCTCATTCCACAAAGAGGAGCTTTACAACTTTGGCATGGTACTTAACAAAAGATAATTTAAGTGCAAAAATCTTTTGGTTGTTCTCAATTGACAGAAACCACTATTGCATTACTTAATCTGGATCACTGGTGAAAACAATGTATGCAGTCAATATTCATTGCTTTACTAAATCTGTGAATACTGATCAAACATCAGCTGTTATAGATTCTGCTAGATAATGAGGTAGTGAACTCATTAGATATAAAAATTTATTGGAAAAGAGAAACCAATAAATAAGTAGACATTATAATAAGGGTACTATATAGAAAATTCAGATAAATCACAAAAATAAAAAAAACCCTGACAATTTGAGAATGATTGTGGCATATCAAAGTCAATGTTTGCACAGGCAAAGAAGATTGGAGTGATAAGAAATAAACTATTAGGAAAGGAAATTCATACAACTAATATAAATAGTCTAAATAGAGTAATGTATGCTATTTAATAAAAGAATTCTGAGCACATTTTTCTCACATCTCAGAATTATTGTGGATAATGTGAATCCTTTTCTTATGTAAATTCCATTCCAATAAGAGAAATTTAAAAATTAAAAGAGGCTTTATCTTATTAAGGCTTTACTTGCAGGTTTGAATTTGGTTTAATTAACTAACCAAAGATACATTTTTAACTTTTTGGTCATGGATTTACTTTACCTAGAGTCACTCTTTCAACACATGTTATATGTATATAGAGAGAACATTGGGTGAAGAGTATGCATCTTTAGTCTTAGTTATAACTTTGCCTCTAAATAGCTACTTGGACTTAACACAAATCACTTCACATTTGAAGAAAAATTCACCATCTGCAAAATAAAGGAGATGAGTTATATGCTTTTTCCATTTCTAAAATTTGATAATTGTATTAATTATATTACTGGATATACTTTAATATTTACACTAATCATAGTAATAGCATAAGAACTTTGATTATGATGTTTTTCTGGTGAAGATATAATCTACAGAGAGAAACACAGGCATGACTGAAATATAATTAAGTAACACTAGGATATTTGCCATAGTATCTATCCCTACATCAATTATTATATTTCCTGTGGCCTCTATACATCCCTCCTCTCCATTCTTCACAGAATAAAACTCAAAGTCTTTGAACACATTGGAATAAAGGATTTCATCTTTAGTTTCCAACAAACTTAGTTTATTATAGATTCCCTCTGAGAACCTGAGCCAAATACAATTCTAAAGTAAAATTTTTTAAAATATTAATAAAATTAATGTTTTTTGTGAAATAAATAATTTCCTACAGCAGCCTTGAAAAAATGAGTACCAAATAAGGTACCAGTTCTATCATATATTATTACCTATTTAACCAAAAGTTGTTAAAAAGGTTTATTTTGATCTAAAAGTAGCTAGATAAATCATAACAATTGTAACAAACAGTCACAAATCTTATAGAGTTATAAAAATCAGAATTTACTATTACTTGGGAATCTATTAGTCAACTGAGTTGTTCTGTTCAGCTTTTTCAGGCTCAGATCATCTTGGCTGGGGTCACTCATGCATATAATGTGTCAACTGGGCATATCTACTGTAAGATAGCTACATCACATGTGTAGTAGCTGGTTGTCTCTTTGGCTGGTGTCAGTTAGTATAAGCTATCTTATCAACATTGCCTCATAATGCAGCAGGCTAGCGCTGGCTTCCTTAAGCAGGTTAACACATGACAGCAGGATTCTCAGAGTCAGTGGAAACTAAAAAGACCTTTTGAACCTGGGCAAAAAATGGCAGAACAACCGTTCTCTCCTATTATATTTTTCAAATCAAGTCACAAGCCAGCTCCAATTTATAGTGTAGAGAATAGACACCACCCCTTTATTAGTTGCAGCTACAAAGTAACATTGCAAAGATTGTGAATATAGACCATTTATAAATTGAGACTTTTTGTAAGCTACTAACTGCTAAGATTAAGAAGAAAATACATAACACAGAAAAGAAAGAAAGCTATCAAAGATATTAAAAACAATACAATATTCAATAAAAATATTAAATGAAAAATATATTGTTCTGATATTGGGTTAAATTTGGAAATTTTAATTTTGTACATATAAGCATGTTATATATATCACATATCATTTATACATATATTTATATCTTTCTCTCACAAGAACAAAATAATAGTAATCTAAATGGTAAGGCAGCACATTGTTATTTGGAAGAAATGAAAGATGTATGCCATCTCTAAACAACATTGAGAAAAAGGAAACAAAGGCTTAAGTGAGTTTGAGCTTCAGCCAACTCACTCATCTGGAAATACAGAAATATTAACATCTTTCAAAATGTGAAAATAAATTTACAACAGGCACAGAGAAATTAACTAAGTCTTTTTTTTTTTTTTTTTGAGACGGAGTCTCGCTCTGTCGCCCAGGCTGGAGTGCAGTGGCGCGATCTCGACTCACTGCAAGCTCCGCCTCCCGGGTTCACGCCATTCTCCTGCCTCAGCCTCCCGTGTAGCTGGGACTACAGGCGCACGCCACCATGCCCGGCTAATTTTTGTATTTTTAGTAGAGACGGGGTTTCACCGTGTCAGCCAGGATGGTCTCGATCTCCTGACCTCGTGATCCGCCCGTCTCGGCCTCCCAAAGTGCTGGGATTACAGGAGTGAGCCACCGCGCCCGGCCACTAAGTCTTAATTACAAATTTGATTTCCAATTAATTTGAGACAGGGATTCACTGTCTCAAATTGATAATTTTTGTTTAATGTTGAAGAGCTCTTCATAATATAACTCAAGATCGTCACAAATTCTGTTGCGTTTTAGAAAATTTACCTATTTCTTACACTCTTCATATTAATGATAGCATTGTTTTACTTCAAAAACCACTGCTAAAACGTTGACCATTCAGAGTATTGTTTTTTAAGACAAAATTAAAATAAAAAGGGCTTCAGAAATTTTGAGTAAAACTTCTGGAGGGGAATCAAAATTAAAAAGGGTTGCAATCAAGATATTTTCTATAATTTATAGAACAATAATTTAGGATATAATACAATTTAGTTGAGACTGAATTGAATGAGTAAATTCTGCCAGATATTTTACTCAAACAATTACGTCTAATTCTTATAATAGCATTTTGAATTAATTACTATTACCTGTACCATTTTGAAAATAGAGAGTATGTGTATCAAAGAGTTTAAGTAACTTGTCAAGTTTCCACAGTTGAGAAGAACTAGGACTTATCAAAACATACTATATGAAATATATTTTCTTGTTTACCTTTTTTTTTTTTTTTACATACTCAAATATAGGCAGTAACCCTTTGGCTCCTTCCAATATACCATTCACATAGAAATCCCTTCACCTTCTTCATTACAGAAATAATGTCCCTAAACACAGCATATACTTTGAAATTAACAACTCAAGGTCGGAAGAAGTGTCACACATTCAGCCATCATTCAGTTATTCAGCAATGAGACACTATTCAAACTTCATTAATATATAAAGGAGGCAACAAGATTTATGGTAGTACTCATTGTGAAAAAATATTGAATAGTACTGAAAATAAATGTTGATTTCCTCAAGAAATTGAGAGATTATTATGAACTGAAATATTGCTGTGGAAATCTCAGATCTGAGCCAAATCCAAAAGATCTAAACATTTCAAAGATAAAGCAAAGGTAGAGTTGATGAGTTAGTGCCCTTAGTGTAACTGATTTGTTTGTTTTTACAATGCCTGGGTAATAATAAAAGAAGTTTAGGTGAGGAACAAAAAGGCATTGCAACTTCATTACTATGTCTGATTGTGGAGAGAAACTAAGATGTAGGCTGAGGTCAGAGTATCCTCTTGTGATGATCTTTGGTCAAATTTATTTCAGAAAACAAAACTACATAGCTATGCATATTGAGATGGAAGATTAAGAATAACCCCTAGATGCACATGGGAATATTTTATGCTCCAAAATGTAGGTTAATAAATGATTTATAAATTATATATATACATATATATTTTATGAATGAGAGTCAACACTCATATTCACAGATCCTGCCTAACCTGAAAGTGTCAATATAATTGTATTATTTATCTTACATCTCAACTTAAGCTTTTTCTTCCATAAAAATATGCTAAAGATACCCATGTTTTCTAAGATGAGAAATGAATTATACAATTGGATAAAAGTAAGTATTGGGACGAGTTCTGCTTTCTCAGACCTTCCTTTTCTTCTTGGGGTGCTTTTGCTTTCAAAGAGCAAATGTTCTGCTCTGTACTTACATCTCATAAATTTAAATTATTAAAGACTACCCTATAAAAAGAGGCCTGCAGTTATCTAACAAACTTCTGACTAAGTGAGCCTGCTCAATTGTGGTCCTGAATGAGGAAGCCCAATGTTGCCACATGCTTAAGTTATAACCTTGCCTCTATCAGTTAAAAAGAAAAACAATATTTTGATCTCGATCTGCCCGACTTCTATGTCTGTTTCTTACTGCTTTAAAACTCAGAGAGAGAAGATAGGTGCTATTTACTGGGTACTTTTAAAATCTACAGACACTAAATTTGTAAATTATTCACTATTTACTCTATGTTGTCAGAGATGGAAATTTGTACACAGCTGAGTATTAGGAGTTTAAACTTTTAGTTAAGACTACTAACTGATCCAAGAGACCAGGAGGCAAGGAAGGTAGACACCATTTTGCTCAGGAAAACTGACCTTCATTATCAATAGAAGGAAGGACTGAGGCTAAAAATGCCATCAGAAAAGAATGTGCTTGGCACCTTGATTGATTCTTTGGATGATCTTTTGAAAGATTCTGCTCAGGCTTTATGGCAAATGGACCAATAAAGCAGCCACTGACTGGGAAAGATATGACCAGGGTCAAAAAACCCTCAGGAATAAAAGTCTGGGTGAACAAACATAGCAAGGCATGTAGACCCCCAAAACATTACCAGGTAAGGGCAAATAAATTGACATTAGACATTAGGGATAAAAGATTTGCATGCTAGTTGCAACTCAGACCAGCTTCAGTGAGGTTTTCCTAGAAAAAGGAACCAGTCAGAATCCTGGCACAGCTATTCCGAGATGAGATAAACATTATATGAAGCCAGCGGGTGCTGCGGTTTACCACACCATTCCTCCTCTAGTCCCAAGGTACTCATTTCTTTTCCCAAGGCTAAGATTGATACCTGAGGTATGCCTGTATCTTGTAAATGATAGATGAAGGGATACAAAAGCTCATCTCCTTGCTTTAATTTGAGAAATATGTTAACGTCTTCCCAGGTTCCTAACTGTCCGTGAGATCGACAAGGCCTGTGTTGAGGCCACCCAACTCCTCCTGCTTCCCAACTCCTCCTGCTTCCCAACTCCTCCTGCTTCCCTACTCCTTCGTAGAAACTATTCTCTAGGGTATTTTCTAATATTAGAAATCTAAAGTCTTTGAAATTATTGCTTGTTGGGCTAACACTTTTTAATTAATTTTGTATTCAAAGACCATTTTCATATTCTTCTGTCCGGGTACTAAGAACTGATATTTTTGTTTTTCTCACTTAATATAGAATTGGTTACTGGTTATATAATGCATTTTAATACACAGATCATAGAGCATTTAAGGGAGTCACTATGAGAAAAGAATGGAACATCTGTTTAGATAGAAACAGTTAATTGCAAAGATTACAAAACTCAAGAAAGAAAAAATCAACTTTATGACATCAAATATATTATACATATTATGTATATATTATTTATAATGTGTTATATAAAACATATTGTATAGCCTATTATATAGCATTATTATGAAATGTGCATTTGCAGCCAAATAGCTCTATCTCCCATCCTGTGAAATAGAGGAAGTCAGAGAGTCTTTCTCTATTTCTTCTATCTCCTTCCCCTTCAGTTCAGACTTGTATGTTTTCTGCTGAATTGGCTGATTAAGTTAGTGATTTACACCCATGTTAATCTCCTTATCAAACTGTTTCTTGGCCATACTTATTATCTGCAATAGGGATTAACTGAGAATATTTTAAATCTTTAAGTTCAAGTTCCCTTTTGCTTAAAAATACTCATTTCAAGTTATTTCTCTTCTTGCATTTTACTACAAGCAGTCAAGAGGAACCAAGCTACTCCTTTAACACTTGGCTTAGAAATGTCCTCAACTAAATATCCAGTTTCATCACTTACAAGTTCTACTGTCCACAAAACATTAAAACAGAAATGCAATTCAGGCAACTTCTTTGCTACTTTGTGACAAGGATAATCTTTTTTTCATTATCCAATAATATGTTACTCATTCTCATCTGAGACTTCATCAGAATTGCCTTTACTGCCCATAATTATATCAACATTGGGTACATGATTATTTATCTATTCTGTAAGAAGATGCAAGTTTTCTCTAAGCTCTCTTTTCTTTCTGAGCCCTCACCAGTATTGCTTTTAAAAATCCTTTTATGACAATCTCAGTTTCTTCTAGCATGTACTTCAAAATTCTTCTCCAATACTCATTATCCAGTTCCAAAACTGCTTTCACGGCTTTAGATAATTGTTACAGCAGCACTTCCCTTTTGGTACTCATTTATGTCTTAGTTCTAGATGTTATAACAGAATACCATAGACTGGTGCTTTGAACAACAAGTGAATATATCTTACAGTCCTGGAGACTGAAAGTCTAGAACAAGTTGCCAGTATGGTAGACTCTTAGTGAAGGCCATCTTCCTAGTTTATAGACAATCATAGTCTTGTGTGCTCATATGATACAAAGGGAACTAGCTAACTCTCTGGCCTCTTCTTTTAAGAGCACTAATTCCTTTCATGAGGGCTCTACCCTTATGAAGGTAACCTAATTGCCTCCTAAAGGTCTCACTCCTCCAAAAATCATTACACTGAGATTAGGGTTTCAAAATATGAATTTGGTGGTCACAAATATTCGCTCTATTGCAATTGGCTTACATGAATCACTATCTCCTTTTTCTAGCTCATGGACACCCTTCCTGAATACATGGAAGAAATAAGGCAATGACACTTGGAATAAAATGTGACTTAAAACAATAAGAAATGGACAATAAAATAGATGTATATAGGCAAATAGCTATGTCTTCAATAGGGAAGATCTTAATATATTATTAAATCAACAGTGTTAATTATATTGATTTTACTGTTCAAGTCTTCAATACATTTGTAAATTTTTTGGAGGGTTTGCTTTATCAGTTTTTGGAGGAAAGAGAGAGAGATTATGTGTGTGTGTGTGTGTGTGTGTGTGTGTGTGTGTGTGTGTGTAGTTTTCTATAATTATAGATTTACTTATTTCTTCTGGGTATTTTGTCCACTTGATTTTGAACAAACTGAATTTTGTTAGAAATATAAAAGTTATGGTAGCAATTATGCCTGATGGGGTTTTATTGTAGAAAGATCATATTCTAATGTATTAATCTTTGTTTCTTTGGGTTCATATTTATTTAAGTTACATTTTTCATTTAGTCAAAGGCATCTGTATTATCTAGAGAGGTAGAGTGATCAACTGATAATATGGAGAATTTGTCAATGTTAGATTATTTGGCTTGCGAAATCGTTTTTTTGAAAATGAAAATGGAAGGGCTAGGACAAGAGAAATGTAGAGTTTATAACAAAACAACAAAATTTGAAAGCAAATATTGGTAGGATATTTTTCCCTGGAAATTAAAATAAAATTACCTGACCTGAGAAACATGAAAAAAAAATGAGACTATTAGGTAGATGTAGAAGGACCCGACGGAAATTGTGTCAGGCAATTCACAAAGTTACAAATGAACATGGTACATCTTGGTAGAATGCCAATCTTACTTGAACCTCTAAGGTATTATATTAAATAAGTTGACTGCCAAAAAATACTCACCTTTGGCCAGGTGCGGTGGCTCACACTTGTAATCCCAGCACTTTGGGAGGCCGAGGCAGGGCAGATCACGAAGTCAGGAGATCAAGACCATCCTGGCTAACACAGTGAAACCCCATCTCTACTAAAAATACAAGAAATCAGCTGGGCGTGGTGGTGGGCACCTGTAGTCCCAGCTATTCGGGAGGCTGAGGCAGGAGGATGGCGTGAACCTGGGAGGCGGAGCTTGCAGTGAGCCAAGATCTCGCTGCTGCACTCCAGCCTGGGCAACAGAGCGAGACTCCGTCTCAAAAAAAATAAAAATAAAAAACTCACCTTTTATCAGTATATTTGAAAGAATACCTCATGGATGTGATGCAAAATTCAAAGATGTTTTTAATGTAAAACAAATAAAAATATAAAAGATTTCTTAATAATTGTTGCTCTGATTCATGTTACTACCATGTAATTACTATCTGAATTTATAACATATTAATATTAACCTCATTTAACTTGAGACGCTTGGTATAGTCTGAAAATGTGCTGACTTAGATACCTTCAAAACCGTCCTACTAGTAAGAAACTTAAAATGGTAAATACACATAACATTCTTTTAAATTGAGATGTTATCTCACAATATAGTCAGTAAAATCCTCATGATTGAAAATTGTTTTAAAAATCTATCCCTTTAATCAAGGATTAACTACAATAGGAATTTTCCTCCTATCTTAAATATATAGAATACTAAAAAGCATATAAAACAAGTGTTTTTAGAATGGTCAGCATGTGGGCAGGCGCGGTGGCTCATGCCTGTAATCCCAGCACTTTGGGAGGCCGAGGCGGGTGGATCACGAGGTCAGGAGATCGAGATCATCCTGACTAACATGGTGAAAACCCGTCTCTACCAAAAATAAAATTAAAAAAATAGCCGGGCGCGGTGGCGGGCACCTGTAGTCCCAGCTACTCGGGAGGCGGAGGCAGGAGAATGGCGTGAACCCGGGAGGTGGAGCTTGCAGTAAGCCGAGATCTCGCTGCTGCACTCCAGCCTGGGCGACAGAGCGAGACTCCATCTCAAAAAAAAAAAAAAAAAGAAAGAAAAAAGAAAAAAAAAAAAGAATGATGGTCCACACATAAGCGAGGACGGTGATCTCTGAAAAGTGAAACTACCCACAGGCAATGGCCAGAGGACTTGATACCCAAGCAGTGCTTTAGTCTCTCTGAATGAAGAGAGGGATCATATTTTGATAAATCGTATTTTGCTAGAATATGCTGTCCTGTGCGTGAAATAAGGGCTTGAAATCCCCAATATCCAGGAAAGAACCACCAGTAAACAGAAGGTGAAATTATTCCCAGAGTTCCTATGCCTGGGAAGTCAATATGCCTCATAATACACAGGGCACTAAGGAAAGACCTCTAAAGGGTCATGCCCTATCATTGGTGACACATTAGCATAAAGGTAAAGAGTATTATAGACACACTTAAGCAAGCTTAAAAGATATCTCTAAAAGATAAAACTAATCTGCAGTAATTTATGTATAATTATGTGAAACAAAGTACAATACTCTTTGAATTGTAGCAGTCAAAACATAATTCCGTGATTTACAGCATCCAAACAAATATCAGGTATGTGAAGCAAGAAAATGTGAAGAGAAAACAGAAAAAAAGTAAATTAATAGAAATCATAGAGAAAATGAATAATCAGATGCAAACTTTAAAATACCTATTATAAATATTATTACTATGCTCAATGACATAAAAGAAAACTTGAACATGAGAAATGAAAGATATATAAAAGCATGAATGAAATTTCTATATATATAATATAAAATATTTGAGATTTAAAAAATGAACGGAGTTTGGTTATTACAAAAAATATGATATTGCAGAATAAAATGTCAGTGAGCCTGAAGACATACCAACAGACATTTTTCAAAATGAAAAAGCAAGACTGAGAATAATTTTTTTAAAAAAAGGAACAGACCTACAGTGACCTGTGGAATACATGCATACTGTTGAAATTCTACAATGAAGATGGGGAAAAAAAAGAAAAAGAAATTTTAATGATGACCATAACTTTTTAAAATATGATGTAAATTATAAAAATCCCAGATGTAAGAAGGTAAAAAGTCAGTTTAAGTAGAATAAACATAAAATAAACCACAAGAGAGAATAAACATAAAATAAATCACACCAAGTACATCAAATTACTGAAAATAATTGATAGAGAAAACCTATTAAAACAGCCAGAAAATAATAATAAAAACAAACACAGATAGAGGAGGAATGGCAAGAATTAAAATACCCAGAATTCTATATCCAGTAAAAGTATTTTTAAAAACTGAACATAAAGATGTTTTGGAGATCGGAGAGACTTTTTTGTCATTTGACTAGTACTATAAGGAAGTTTGCGAAAGTTCTTCTAGAAAAAGAAAATAATAAATGCAGGCCAGACACAATGGCTCATTCCTGTAATCCCAACACTTTGGGAGGCCGAGGTGGGCAGATCACTTCAGTCCAGGAGTTCAAAACCAACTGGGCAGCATGGCAAAACTCAGTCTCTACAAAACTACCAAGAAATTAGTCAAGCATGGTAGCCTGTGCTTGTAGTCTCCGCTATTCAGGAGGCTTAGCTGGAGCATCGCCTGAGCCTGGAAGGTCAAGGCTACAGTGAACCGTGATTGTCCCACTGCACTCCAACCTGCGTGACAGACTGAGACCCTGTCTCACAAAAAATAAAAATAAAAAACAAGAAACAACAATTTCCTTGATGCAAGTTGTCTAAACCAGGACTTCTCAATATGAAAATTATTTGAGTCACAAATATAATTTTAAATTTTCTATTACCTGCATTAGAAAAAAAAGATTATTTGATGTCACTATTATATTCTAAACAAATATTTTAAAGATTATTTCAAAATATCAAAATAAAAATTATTAATAACATGTATTACGTTTTTTATAAATTATTGAAAGCTGGAGTATATTTTATACTTATAGCACCTATCTAAGATACCAATGTAGGCTAGCAACACTTTAAAAAGCTCAACAGCCACATGTGGCTAGTGGCTATCATGTGGAATAGTACAGTTTTAAACACACCAATCCAAAAGCAGACATAGTCATATTAATTTTTTTAAAAGACAAAACTATGAGCTATTTACAAAAAGTGATTAAAAATATAGAATTTTAGATAGAATAAAACTGATAAATGGAGAAGAATATAGCAGGCAAATACCAACTCAAGAATCCTGAAATGAATTTATTAATATCAGAGAAACTAGACTTCAGAACAAGAGATATTACCAGTGGGGCACTTCATAATGATAAAGTGCTTATTCATAAACAATATCCAATGAAATAATTTATCTAATTATCTAATAACAAAGCCTCGAATAGATGATAAAGCAAAACCAATAAATAATTCTGAAGCTACTTAAGGTTATACATATATATGAGAGATAAAAGGATTATTTTAAAAATATTATTTTAAAATCTTAATGTATTAATATAAATATATAATATGGCAGAAATATTTATTTTACATGCAATGACACCATTTACCTGAAATATTACATAGTCTATGCACTGAAAATAATGTGTATTTATACTTTATGACTTTCATAAATGCACACTTTTAGGTATTTTCAGTTTACATAACTTCTTTTGTCCTGCACACAAAGACATTGTAGTAAAATATGCTCTTTGCGTTTCCACGCTTGAGTTTGTCTTATTTGTAGTTTCCTTTTTCATTATCTATTTCATACATAATAGAACAATTACTGATACACATGGATTTTAATTAAAAAAAACCTACATAGCATCAAGTTATTCATTATATTTCAATTTTCTGCTTGGAGGATGTTTCTACCAATATATTATTTTGATAGATATAGATGAAAAATGAGAGAAAGTATAATCTAAGCACGTATTATCATGAAGTGCAACTAGCAGTTGATGCTATAAAAATAAATTAGGTCCTTGGGGATTTTTATTTATAAAATTTATTTTATAAATAATAATAAAAATAATACGAGAAATGATAAAGAAATAAAAAACTGAAAATTAAAGATTTATTGAAGATGCTGGAGTTGTGATTCTTAGAACTTAGTCAAGTCAATGAATACAGATAAGACCACAAGCATGGCAACTGATGTATCCATATGCGGGAATTGACCACCTTTCCTCATGTAAGATGATGAAGCATGATCCATTCTGACAGTGGCATTAGAAGCTTTCTCAAACAGCTTCTCAGTTACAGATATATCAGTTAGACTACAGTCTTGCATCTATAACAAATTAAAAAACCAACACTTGATAACTTACAAGTAAAGTACAGCATGATAGATGGGTGCAGGTCTACTTTCTTCATTTTCTTCTTAGATTATAAGAATATTTATAAACTATAATTCACATTTATTTTAAATTTGTCAACATCTTTACTCATTTATATTGTATAAAAGTGAAGTAACAATTTTGCTGGCATTCCTCATTACATTAACTTTTTAAATCTTTAATAAGATTGTTATAACTATAAATGTATTTTGAACATTATGATAAAAATATATTTTAAAAATTACAACTATGCACCATTGAAATACTTAATATCTGACTTGAAAACCTCAAATAGCTAGTATCTTTTAATGAAAAGTGGGGATAAATCAGTTGATAGAAATTATATCAGAAGACAGGAATATTCTGAGCTAAACCATAGGACTGGTGCTGTAATAAATTATCTTACTTAAGTCTCATAATAAACTCTTGAAGAATAGATCAATGTTCCTTTACATGTGAGGTAACTGATACTGAATGAGTTAAGCTAACTTGCACAAAATCACACCCCTTTTTTGTAAGAATAATTCTCATTTATTTTAACTCTGCATGCCATCCTCGCTAAGATTAATGATTAATCTTAAATATAGTTGATAGTTGGCTTCATATCCTGAAACATTTCAATTGTCTCTGATGAGATAGTTTCTTTGCTGATAGTGTGCCTAGAACAGGGCCCATGTTCAGTTGTGTGAATGGTGCCTCTAGAGTTGCCAGTGTCCAATTTGTGATGCCTTAGGCAGAGGTCTTGGCCCTTTGGCCCCTAGCAGCTATGTGTTCAGGTGTTTCAGTCATGCCTAGCCCAAAAACAAAACTAAACAATAAACTCATAAAGAACCAGGTGTGTTGAATGACAGATATCAATATTTACGTGGAATAGCTGAAATTCATTAAATAAAATATGACATAAAATAATCAATAGTGCATAGCTTTCAATGCTACATTTGAAGATATTATTTATAGAGCGTGATATCATTATTTGAAGAAAATTACCTCTTACAGGTTCATTTTAAAAAGGTAACCTAAGATTGGATTTTACAGCATAGGTGTAAGATAAGTTGACTATCTTCTTTTAATTCCACAAGTCCAATTCATTCCAAATAATAGGTTCCACTGATGGAAACTCATTTTCTTATTTCATACATGTGAAATGTAATAACACCTGACACAAAGTTCTGGTATACATAAATCAATATTTTCAACCGTAAATGTCAGTTTTTACATGTTTTGCTACTTTTGATTTAAGCGTTATCATGGTTCAAAGTACAGGTTTATTCTTTAGAGGAGCAGGTTATTAGCTGCAAAATAATCAGCCAGTCATGAGTCAGTGAATAACTGTCCTTTTAGGTAGCTGTATGTTAAATGGAGACCTATGCAACATCCCCATTAAAAGTGCTTATTTACTAGGGACATAAAGTCATTAAAGAGAACTAACAGTGAATTCAAATTGAGAGAGCAAATGAGCAAAATACTGTATATGGGCCTAGAATGTTAATGTTATGATAATGCTATGCTATGTTAAGAACAGTTAATCTTGCATTTCCAAGGGTACAAAGCATAATATATGCTTTCCTTGAGTGCTAATTATGAGACATTTTAATGGTTTTAATTCTCCTCTATATCTTTACAATAAGACTATTACATAAAAATAAAGGTAGCAACAATTTTAAAATGGCGTCAGCAGTTACTTAACTCATCATCTTAGTGAGCAAATTATCCTGGCCAGGGAATCTCATTGAAATGTTAAAACATTTGATTAGACCATATGGAGACTATTTTATAATAAAGCAAGTTGATAGGTGCTCTGAAGAGGAACATTCCTATTTTAATTTCCATTGCATCTAACCACATAGTTATTACACATTTGCCTGATTTCTGACAGGTGTTTGCTCATAGTTATAAACACTGTCCTTCAGAAAAAACATGACATTAGGCAGGAAAGTGGTAAACTTCACCGCTATTCTTATCTGCATTTAGAAAAGTCCAATTTATGATGAACAATCATCCTGATTTTGCTCAGGACTAAAGGGAGTCGGAACATACAGTATTAAAATAAATGACATCTTTGGCAAACTGGGATGAGCTGGTTATCCCAGTACCCCTTTTGCTTACTTGTATTCACTTGCACCAGACAAATAATGAAAGCATGAGCGAGGCCACCTGTATTAGTCTGTTCTCACGCTGCGATAAAGAACTAACTACTTGAGACTGGGTATTTTATGAAGAAAAGAGGTTTGGTTAACTCACAGTTCTGCAGGCTCTGCAGGAAAAATGGCTGGGAGGCCTCAGGAAAGTTACAATCATGGTGTAAGGCAAAGGGGAAGCCAGCACATCTTACCATGACACAGCAGGAGAGAGAGAGTGAGGGTGGAAGTGCTACACATTTTTAAACAACCAGATCTTGTGAAAACTCATCATGAGAACAGCAAGGGGGAAATCGCCCCCATGATCCAGTCACCTCCCACGGGGCCCCTCCTTCAAGAGGTGGGGATTAAATTTGACATGACATTTGGGTGGGGACATACAGCTGATCCATATTACCACCTTCCTGTTCTTGTAGAGACTGTCATTGTCATTAATAAAACAGACACACAAATGGTAAACTGATAGTCTCTATTGATATTCTCTCTTCTCTACACTGCCCCGGGACTCTAGCTATTGAAGCTTTACTGTATTGCATGATTAAGACAGAGCTGTGTTGTTTCTCTACCCCATTCGATATCTATTCCACACTTGGATGATAAATTCAGTAATGCCTCTGAATCTTTTTAAGCAAGTTTCTATTTGTATAAAAAGAATGACCACAATGGGAACCATACTAATACGGAGAGCCCTTTAAACCAGAGGCCAAAATATGCCACTAATAGAGAATTATTTGGGTAAGAAAACTTGCTACTTTAGCACATGATTAACTTCAGAGATTAAAATAAGTAATTAACTGTAGGACATATTCCTGTGATTGCGTATTCCTGCTTCATAACTTATTTGCAATAACTTAAGATAAATATAAAGAAGACTCTCAGAACAGGTTCTGGAGCTAGACTGGGTGAATTAAATTTTGACTATGGCCCTGTTCTGCTATTTGATCTTGAACTAGCCATTGACTTTTCTGTGTCTTAGTTTTCTCATCAGTAAAACAGCAATAATAAAAGTACATATTTCACAGATACTGAAGACAATTAAGTGAATTAATATTTGTAGACTACTGAGTAAAATGCTACATATGTACAATTATTTTTAAGGTTGCCTTTGAGCCATTAGATGATTTATCAGTGCATCAACAGTGGTCAAATAGAGAAGCAGTGGAGAGCATGGTCTGTGGTGTCCAGCCATCCATGTTAGAATCATGGCTCTATCACTTAGTATCTTAAAAAAGTAATTGGTGTCTCAGTTTCCTTATTTATAAATTGACCCTACTAATAAAGCCATTAATGAGGATTGGTAGAGAATATGCATGTACTAGATGTTATTATTGCTATTATTATTCTTTGACCTGGAAGGAAGTGAAAGGGCGTACCAGCTTTCCTAATTCAGAAATATATGTAACCCCCAGGGCAGCGGATAGGGTGGATTTTTTTCTCTATGACACTCTGCTTTTGCAAATCTACTAGTAATTATTTACTTCCAGAAAAGAGAGGTTTCAGGCAGGAGTACCAAATGCAAATGAATACAGGGTTCAAGAAGTAAATGCAAATGAGCGAAGCTTATTAGAATTGGTGAATTAGAATTAAGAAAATAAAGCATGATTCAAACTAGAATGTTGAAATATGTGCCATTATCTAAAATAATTAAAACTAAAAACCAACAGATTATTAATCTGTACAAACCAAATCTCTTTGAAGGGCTGAATTCAGACTGCTTGCCACCATTGTGCAGCCTCTACTGATAGCATTTGCATCTAATTTGTTTCTTGTTTCCTAGATATTTTCAAGCTACATTTCAGAAAATTTAATCGCAGTATCCCACTTTTGAAAATTGATGGCCCTATTAAAAACCATCAGAATTAAATTATTTATTTTGATTCAGTTTACAGAATATATCATTCTTCAAATATAGAAAAGAATCATTTAAATATTAATTATTTAATGTAAACATTAAATAAAGCATTTATTTATAAGCATGGGTCATTAGGTTTAAAATAAAGTATTTAACTAGTACCTTAAAGAATAAAGAAATAGGCTGGGCGCAGTGGCACACGCCTGTAATCCCAGCACTTTAGGAGGCCAAGGCAGGTGGATCACCTGAGATCAGGAGTTTGAGATCAGCCTGACTAACATGGTGAAACTCTGTCTATACTAAATACAAAAAATTAGCCAGGAGTGGTGGTGCATGCCTATAATTCCAGCTACCTGATAGGCTGAGGCAGGAGAATCGCTTAAACTTGGGAGGCAGAGTTTGCAGTGAGCCAAGATCGTGCCATTGCACTACAGCCTGGGCAACAAGAATGAAACTCTGTCTCAAAAAAAAAGAAAAAAGAATAAAGAAATAATTCTAGATATGGATTCATATTTATGTGGTCAACTTTTCTAAGTCATAGAGGAATATAATATATTTTAATTTATTAATATTCTCATATTAATTAGAATAGTAGAGTTAACAGATATCCTTTTCTATGTAAGTTATTCAATTTAGAAACTGTTTTTTTTTTTGTTCTGCACATACATGGATTCATAGGATTCAATACTTCTCTCTGAGGGAAACTTCATTTAACAGGATATTTTGCTGGTTTTGGGCATCACAATTCCCTTACATAATTTTTTGTCATGTCTTATTACCTGCTGTACTGTTATTTCATTAATATTTTTATGACTTTAACTTTGTTTTCCTTTTATTTATTTATTTTTAATTTACTTTTAAAAACAATTCAATAGGTTTTGGGGAATAAGTAGTGTTTACTTACATGAATAAGTTCTTTAGTGGTGATTTCTGAGATTTTGGTGCACCATCACCCAAGCAGTATACACTGTACCCAATGTGTAACTTTTTTTACACTGAAGTTATTATAAAAAAATTAAGACCTTAGCAAAACACAGTGAATTCAAGATCTATATCTATCCCCTTTGCACTAAATTTAAGTCATTTGGTATAGTTTTCACCTTTGAGATTCCAGCTTATGGCTGGCAATGCCCAGCTTAATGTAGTGGAGAACTGCCAGAAAGGATGGTCTCTAGTGCTTTAAGTCCCTTCATCTTCCATAGGGTGTGCATCCCAGACAAAACACATTTAATACATTCACACCAATGTAAGCCCTCAGCAAATTATTCCTTTGTAATTGAACTTACCAGAACACTTGCACATCCCTATAGGACAACATGTATTTGAAAAAGTTGTTAGGGAGAAAGTGTGGGCAGTATTTTTAATTGATATCGACAAATAAATTGCTTCCTAACTGGTACAAAGTTAATCAATGGCTGGCAAGCTCAATTTGCTTTTGGTATCTATCTTCCTTCACCTTGGGGTTTCCATAATAATATATAAATTCACCCCATCAAGGCTTTACCTATTTAAATCACATGGTGTAACCTGATAAAAGTATGTAGAGATGGGCAAAAGAATTGCTGGGTGTCTTTCCAGGATAATTCCTGGCATTTTCTGGTGCATCCTTCAACTATTACCTGATTCCACAGGGGTCTGCACATTTGGTTGGTTCACTACTATCTAAGCTATTTTACAGTCCTCTAGGGTTATACATTTAATTCCTAGTAAGCTAAGAGCAATGAAAAATTTTTTGTTCACAACAATGCAGATGATTACTGTTCATAGATATAAATTTTGTCCAGTAAATAATATAAATCTGTGTAAGTCCAATTATTATGCTGTACTAGTTTTAATCATTTACTGGTTTCATCATTACATACCGAGTTTTTATTTGACATATGATTATTATATATTTTTATTACTGTACACATATAGCTCATAGCTGCTTTGATCCAAGAATGTATTTTTTTGGCTTTTAAAACAAATCCCAAATGGCAATGAAGCTGTAGCTTTGCTGTTCTCTCATTTTGTATTGTTTGTTTTGTAATAATTGTGTGTTTGTGCAAGGGTGCACACCTGTTTCTGGTTCACTTACAGGCAGTGTTAAGCTGTTTTCCTTTAATGTTAATAATAATTGGAAATTTGATTTTATGGAAATTTAATGTTTTCTTCACTGGCTAGTGGAGAATGAGCATCTGCTATGTGAATGACAAGAGCATCCAGTTTTTAAGCTTTTAGTTTGTTTGTATATTTGTATACCTGTGAATTAAAATCAATGAAGAATTTTATGCTCATTGAGAACAACAATTTTTTGAAATATTGTCAGGAGAAATTTTGTGTTTCCTTTTGAACTATGGCTAAAGTTTCACAACTGGAGCTATTAGCTCTCCCTATGCCTATGTATCTGATATGCGTACTTCAGAAAATGTGTGCAATTTACCTCTGGTTATGTGAGTATAAAGAATTTTTCTACCAGTAGGGGATATTAATAAATAATATTATATTATCTGACTGATTTGTAGAGGTAAATGAGCACTATATAGATAAAACATTCCCTAACGTGAAGATATAGAAAGTGAATTTCTTACACTCTAAATGTGCTAGACCTTTTAAAATACACTTTTTACATTAATTGTTTTCTTAAATACAATATAATTATCCATTTTCACATATTAAAGTTGAATCTTTAGATATATCAGATTGGTTTGATAATTTTTGTTTTACTTTTAGAAAATAAAAAGCACTAAATTAATTTTCTCTGATTTACCCATTACATATAAAATATTATATTATAATATGTTCATAATATATACTATTATGTTACAAGTAAATATTAAATTATAATATCAATAAAACATGGAAGTATATTATATGTTATTGTACACAAATATAGAATCATATGTTTAAATTATTTATTTGCTTGGTAACAAATTGATGCAGAACTTTGATGCTTGAAGCAGCAAACGTTTATTTTATTTAGTATTTTATCATTTCTGTTGGGCAGAAATCCAGACACAGCTTTGCTGGGTCTTATGGCTCCAGATCTCACAAAAGGCTGCAATCAAAATGTTGGCAAGGAGAGTGATGTCAGAGAAGATGGCACAGTATGAAACACCAGGATTCCATCTCTCTATTTGTACTGACAATTGTACTGACAAAAACTGTCTAGAATAACTATTTTGGAACACCACATTCTTTAGAACACTGGCAGCTTCCCAGGGAAAGCCATGACTGGCAAATTACAGTTAATTTCTGTCAATTTTAGCCTTTAGTTCCATAACTGCTACCAACACCATACCCCTAGTCCAATGCAAGCAGCCTGCATTCCTGATATGGCCTTCTGGAGCTATATTGGGCAATCAGAATTTTGTCATCCAAATATCGGGGTTATGTGTTCTGACTGATGACTGCTGCTTTTGATTACTAAGTGCAGGTGCAGAGGCTGGCCACCATTGTTTCCATCCTTAACTGGTTAAAGTGTGGCTTCCAGGAAATACAAAGGAGCATCCTCTGTTTTCTGTTTTGTTTGTTTTTTCTCCCTCTTTCTCTCTTTTTCTTCTTTAGGGAGCTAGATATTTAAGGATTAGGAAATTCAAAAGCAACTACATACATGGTGGAACTTAGAAAACAAATGGCACATGCCTAGAGGAAGACAGAATCTCAAGAGAAAAACTAAGATTTTTTATATTTTCACCTCAAGATGATACAAGGCATAAAGACAACGTTCAATAATAAAAAGTAACTAAAGAAAAAGCAAACCCTCTGTAAAATAGGAAAACTGGTTTCCAGAACTACCACATTATAAAATTAAATGCTAGTTTTCAACCGGAAATCCAAAGCATATTGTAAAACAGGAAAGTACATACACACCATTTAAAAGAACAAAATAAATCAACAGAAACCATCCTTAATGAAGCTATGACATAAAACTTACTAGACAAAGATGTTTAAACATCTGTCTTAATGATACTCAAAGAACTGAAAGAAGCTATGGACATAGACTAGAAAATGATATATGAACAAAATGAAGAACACCAATCACTAATACATCTGTAAGATTAGCATTACCTTGTTACCAAAGACAGATGAAAACATTACAAGAAAATTACTGACCAATATCTCTTACGAATATAAATTTAAAAATTCTCAACAAAGCAGTAGCAAATAAAAACCAACAGCATATTAAAAGGATTATTCACAATGACCAAGTGGAACTTGTTCCATGAATGCAAGGGTAGTTCAACATAAGAATATCAATCAATCCAATACATTGCACTAATAAAACAAAATGAAAAAGCGATAATTTCAATTGACACAGAAGACAAAACTGAGTAACTTTTCATGGTAAAACCTCACAGAAAACTAAGAATAGAGGGACTATTGTTCAACATGATAGAGTATTTGCAAAAAACTCACAGCTTATATTATAATCGATGACAAAAGAATGAAAGTTTCTTCCTTAAGATAAAAAAGAGATGAGGAAGTCAGTTTTCACTGCTGCTATTCAACATTGTTATGGACATTTTTGCCAGGGATATTGAACAAGAGGAAGAAATTTAAAAAATTCTAAATTGGAACGGAAGAGGTAGAATTATTCCTATCAAGTAATGGCATAAACCCACACATGGAAAATCCCAAGAATCCACAAGAAAACTCTTAGAGCCAATAAACAAATTCAGTAAAGTTGCAGGATACATGGTCAACATGTAAAACTCAATTGTGTTTCCATACATCAGCAATAAAAAATACAAAACTAAATTAAGAAAGCAATTCATTTACAATAGCTTCTGAAAGAATTAAATGCATAAGGATATATCTAATCTGGGAGGTGAAAGCCTAGCGAACTACAAGCTGTAAAACATTGCAGAATGAAATCAAAGAAGACATAAATAAATATAAAAATGTTCTATGTTGTTCATGTTTATGGATAGGAAGCTCTAACATTGTGAAGATATTAATACTAACCCGAGTGATACACAAATTCTGCACAATCTCTATCAAAATATCAATAGCATTATTTTGCAGAAATGCAAAAGCCAATCCTCAAATTTATATGAAACTGAAAGGACTTTAATAGCTAAAGTAATCTTGAAAAAAAAAGAATAAAGTTGGAAAACTCATTGTCCTTGGCTTCAAACCTTACTTTAAAGTTACAGTAATTAAAACAGGATGGTACTGAAATAAGGAACGACATATAAGCCAATGCAGTAGGAAAGAGAGGCCAGCAATAAACTCATATATATTGTCAACTGATTTTCAATCAGATAATGAGGTGTCAAGATCATTAAATGGATAAAGAACAGTATTTCAAGAAATGATGCTAAGAAAACTGTATATCTATATGTGAAAGAATGAAGTTGGATTGTTAACTTACAGTATATACAAAAATAAATTCAAAGTGGATTAAAATCTAAACATAATTGCTAAACTATAAAACTCTTAGACAAAAACATTGGGGAACATCTTCATGACATTGGATTTGGCAATGACTTTTTGGACATAACACGAAAAGAACAGGCAACAAAAAATAAATAAATACATTGGACTTCAAAATTAAGAACTTTTAATGAGATTATTCTATTTTTTCCTATAGAATTATTTGAGCTTCTTATATAATCTGGTTTTTATTTTTATTTTTCTGTTCACTTTACCAATCTCCATTACCCCACCAGCCCCACACTATGTTTCCCAGCTTCTGGTAACTATTTTTTTTTTTTTTTTTTTTTTAGACAGAGCTTTGCTCTTGTTGCCCAGACAATGGGCAGTGGCGTGATCTCAGCTTCTCAGCTCACTGCAACCACCGTCTCTGGGGTTCAAGCAATTCTCCTGCCTCAGCCTCCCAAGTAGCTGGTTACAGGCATGCCATACCATGCTCTGCTAATTTTTTTTTTTTTTTTTTTTTTTTGGATTTTTACTAGAGACGGGGTTTCACCGTGTTGGCCAGGCAGGTCTTGAACTGCTGACCTCAGGTGATCCATCTGCCTCGGCTTCCCAAAGTGCTGGGATTACAAGCGTGAGCCACCATGCCCAGCCGTTCCTTCTGCTCTCTATGTCAATGAGTTCAACTGTTTTTATTTTTAGATCCCACAAATAAGTGAGAATATGCAATGTTTGTCTTTCTGTTCCTGTCTTTTTTCACTTAACATAATGATCTCCAGTTCCATCCATGTTGTTGCAAATGACTGGATCTCATTTTTTTTTTTATGGCTGAGTAGTACTCCAGTGGGTATATATACCACATTTTCTGTATCCATTCATCTGTTGACAGACACTTAGGTTGCTTCGAAATCTTATCTATTGTAAACAGTGCTGCAACAAACAGGAGTGGAGATATCTCTGCTATAGCAATTTCTTTTCTTTTCGGTATATACCAAGCAGTGAGATTGCTGGGTCAAATAGGAGCTCAATTTTTAGTTTATTTGAGAAGCCTCCAAACTTCTCCATGTGATTGTACTAATTTCCATTACCACCAACAGTGTGCAAGGGTTTCTTTTTCTCCACATCCTCACCAGTATTTTTTATCGCCTATTTTTTTAATATAAACCATTTTAACCTGTGTGAGTTGTATCTCATTGTTGTTTTGATTTGCATTTCTTTGATGATCAACGATGTTGAGCATCTTTTCTTATGCCTTTTTGCCATTTGTATATCTTCTTTTGAGAAATGTCTATTTAAATATTTTCCCCACCTATATCAAAACATCTCATGTACCCTGTAAATATATATATATATACACTATGTATCCACAAAAATGTTTTAAAATAATTAAAAAATTAAAAAATTAAGAACTTGTTTAACCAAAGTACACTAAGAGAGTAAAAACCCAATCCTCAGAATGAGAATGTATTTGCACATCATATATTTGATAAGATGTTAATATCCAGAGTATATATTTTTAAAGCTCTACAACTCAACAACAATAGAAAACAAACAATCCAATTAGACACTGGGCAAGTGCCAGGTGCAGTGGCTTATACCTGTAATCCCAGCTACTCTGTAGGCTAATATGAAAGGATCACTTGAGCCCAGGAATCTGAGACTGCAGTGACTTATGATTGCACCACTGCATTCCAGCTTGGGTGACACAATGAGACCTCATTTCAAAAACAAACAAACAAAAAAATGAGTGATGTACTTAAATAGACATTTCTCCAAAGACATACAAAATGGCCAATAAGCACATGAAAAGATGATTAACATCACTAATCATTAGGGAAATATAAATCAAAACCACAATGAGATACCACTTTACACATGCTAGGATGAATATATTCAAAATAATATGGAAAATAAAAACTGTTGGCAAGGGTGTGAAGAAACTGGAGCTCCTGTCCACTGGTGGTAGTATATAAAATAGTGTAGCCCTGGTAGAAAACAGTTGGACAGTTTTTCAAAATGTTAAGTATACTACCCAGGAATTACTCCTGGATAAATATGCAAAATAATTGAAAACAGAAAATCTAACAGATATTTTACAATAATAGCTATAATTTGAAATAGTCCAAAAGTGTCTATCAACAAATGAATGGATAAACAAAAGGTGATACATACATATAATTGACCATTATTCAGCCATAAAAAATTAAATTTTGATATATGCTATGGTATCGATAGACATTGAAAATACTATGCCTTGTGAAATAAGCCAGAAACAGAAGGACAAATATTGTGTGATTCCACTTACATGAGGTACCTCAAATAGACAAACTCATGTTAGCATAACTAGAATAGAGGTTACTAGGAGCCAGAGTAAGGGAAATTATTGTTTAATGGGTATAGTGTTATGTTCATAATGATAAAAAGTGTTGGGTATAGATTGAGTTGATGGTTACACAAAAATACTATATACTGCCACTGAATTTTCCAATTATAAATGGTATAATGATGAATATTATCTTAAATATATTTTACTACATTTCAAAGGAAAAAGAAAGAAAAACTTGGCAAATCATCTCAAGGCTCAACTGGTGTTGGATCATTTTCCAAGCTCATTCACATGGCTGTTTGTAGGATTAAGTTCCTCTTGTACATTGACAGGCTTCCCACATATCCTTGCCCCTGGGTCTCTGCATGAGGTAGCTTACAACATTTTAGCTGAATTCTTTACGAAAAGAAAGAGGGATGGAGAACAAAAGAGTGTGGGAACAAGACAGAAGTAGCAGCCTTTTAAAATGAAATCTCATAAATGACATAGTACCACATTTGTCATATTCTAGTTGATAGAAACAAGTCACTATTTACAGACACTTTACTCAAGGTGGAGGATTGCACAAAAGTGCGAATATCCAGAGACAAAAATACTTCAAACATAAGGAGTAGCAAGAATGAATGAGTAATTTAAGAATCTTCCAACAACAACAAAAAAGCCCAGGACCAGATGGATTTCCACCCAAATTCTACCAAACATACAAAGAATAACTAATATCATTCTTTCTGAAACTATTCCAAAAAAAATCAAAGAGTAAAGAATTCTCCCTAACTTCTTTTACAAAGCCACTACTATTCTGTTACCAAAACCAGACAAGGACACACACACAAAAAGGAAACTACAGACCAATATCACTGACAAATGTAGATGCTAAAATCCTCAACAGAATGTTAGCAAATAGAATCCAAGAGAACCTCAAAAAGATAATACACTGGCCAGGTGTGGTGACTCACTCCTGTAATCCCAACACTTGGGGAGGCTGAGGTGGGCAGATCACGAGGTCAAGAAATCGAGACCATCTGGGCCAACATGGTGAAACCCCATCTCTACTAATAATACAAAAATTAGCTGGGTGTGGTGGTGCATGCCTGTAGTCCCAGCTACTCGGGAGGCTGAGGCAGGAGAATTGCTTGAAACCGGGAGGCAGAAGTTGCAGTGAGCCGAGATCACACCACTGCACTCCAGCGTGGTGACAAAGCAAGACTCCATCTCAAAGAAAAAAAAAAAGAAAGAAAGAAAAACAAGAAAGATAATAAGATAATGCACTATGATCAAGTGATATTTATTTCAAGGATGCAAGGATATTCAACATACAGAAATCAATAATTGTGATAAATTACATTCACAGAATTAAGGACAAAAACCATATAATCATCCCAATAGATGAAGAAAAAGTATTTAATAAAATTCAGCATCCCTTCGTGAAAAAGTCCTGAACAAACTAGGCATACAAGGAACATACTTCAGCATAATAAGGCCATGTATGACAAACCAACTGCCAACATCATATTTTACAGGGAAAAGTTGAAAGCATTCCCTCTAATAACTACAATAAGGCAAGGTTGCCCAATTTCACTACTCTTATTCAACTTAGTATTATCAGGGAAGAAAAAAAATTAAAGGCATCCAGATTTGAAAAGAGGAAGTAAAATTATCCCTGTTTGCTGATAATATGCTCTTATATCTAGAAAATGCTAAAGACTCCACAGACAACTCTTACTGAATTTACTGATTTCATAGATAAATGAATTCAGTAAAAAATTAAGATATAAAATTAGCACACAGAAATCAGTAGTGTTTCTATATACCAATAATAGTTTAGCCAATGACCAAATCAAGAAGAGAATCCCATTTACAATAGCTATATTAAAAAAAAACTAGAAATATATTTACCCAAAGAGGTGAAAGATCTCTACAAGAAAAACTACAAAACACTGAGGAAAAATAATTTAGATGACAAACAAGTGGAAAAATATTCCATGATCATAGATCAGAAGAATTAATATTGTTGAAATGAACCTATTGCCCAAAGCAATCTACAGATTTGATGCATTGCTCTCAAAATATCAACCTCATTTTTCACAGAACTAGAAATAAAATCTTAAAATTTGTATGGACCCCAAAACAAGCCCAATTAGCCAAAGCAATTGTAAACAAAAAGAACAAAGCTGAAGGTACCACATTGCCTGACTTCAGATTATACTACAAGTCTGTACAAACAAAACAGCATGGTACTGATATAAAAATAGACGAATATGTAATTAGAACAGAATAGAGAACCCCAAAATTAAGTCTCATACTTACAGTCCATGGATCTTTGGTAAAGTTGATAAGAAAATACACTGAGGAAAGGGCACCTTATTTAATAAATGGTGCTGGGAAAATGGGATTGCCATATGCAGAAGAATGAAAGTGGCAACTGGCTCTGATCTCTCACCATACACAAAAACTTAACTCAAGATGGATTCAAGACTTAAATATAAGATCTGAACTATAAAAATACTAGAAGAAAACCCCACGGAAAACTCTTCTAAACATTGGTCTACACAAATAACTCATGAATAAGACCCAAAAACACAGGCAACAAAAACAATAATAAGCATTTGCACAGCAAAAAAATAATAATAATTAACAGAATGAACAGACAACCTGTGGAATGGGACGAAAGAACTTAATAAGAATTTGCACAGTGAAGTAAATAATTAAAAGAATCAACAGACAACCTGTGGAATGCAATAAAATATTTGCAAACTGTATACCTGATGGGACTAATGTCCCGGTTTTACAAAGAACTCAAACAACTCAAAAATATACCCCTAATAATCTCATTACAAATTGAGCTAAGGACATGAAATTGCATTTTGCAAAAGAAGAAAAACAAATAGCCAAAAAGCATTGAGGTATCTTAGAACAATTAGAATGGCTATTATTAGAAGACAAAAAATAACAGATATTGCAAAGTTTGCAGACTAAAGGGAACTTTTTTATGCTATTGGTGGGAAGGCAAACTAGTACAATCTCTATGGAAAACAGAATGGAGATTTCTCAAAGAACTAAAAATAGAGCTGTCCTAAAATTCAGCAATCTCATTACCCAAAGGAAAATAAATTATTATATCAAAATATATCTGTACCTATATGTTTATCACAGCACTATTCACAATAGCAAAGATAAGTAATAAACCCAAATGTCTATCAATGGAGGATTGGATAAAGAGAAAATGTGGTATATGTACAAAATAGAATACTATTCAGCCACAGAATAATGAAATAATGTATTTTGCAGCAACATGGATCAAACTAGAGGTCATTAAGTGAAACAACTCCGTCACATAAAGACAAATATCACATGTTCTCATTTATAAGTGGGAGCTAAGTAATGTCTACACATGAAAGCAGAGTATGGAATGATGGAGATTCTGAGAGATGGCAGAGTGGAAGGTGGATGATGGGAGGTTTCCTGATGAGTACAAAGACACTTCAATGATGGATGCACTAGAGGCCCTGACTTCACCACAATACAATATGTCAATGTAGCAAAATTGCAGTGTAACAGATAAATATATACAAATTAAAAAATACTAATAAGTGGAACCATCTTAGAAGTCTACTAATCACTACAGAGATTTTATTTTTTACAATATTTATATATGTTTTCTCAGTAAAAAATTAAAGAGCCTAAATTCTTTATGTTGGCTTGTTGATTAAATGAGCTAATGTTATTCTGATATGATGTTAGTTTGTTAAACTAAATTAAATCATTATTATGACTTTTTATATCAACAGAAACTGAGATGACACACAGTTTTATAGCGTGTCAGCTTAAATGTAATTTCCAATACTTTTAGGCAATTTAAACTTTAGACCTATTGAGATAATTGATAGATAATATAATTTTGAATATCATCAAACATGAAATTACTTAGTTCTGCATAAATTTGTTTATAAAGTTTTGTTTTTTATTTTATAGTTATCACATGGCTATATCATTAAATAATACATGTATTCATTTTTGCCAGTTTAAAAAGTTGAATCATGATATACCTCTATGTACTAGTTGTATTCCTAAGCTTCCAGTATTACAAAAGTTTGTGTGTGAGCGACATTTCAGAATGACCTACCTTCCAGTTTTTTCTAAAATATAATATATATTAAGTAATGTAGAATATAATTGCTGCTAAGTATTATGAATGGTTAAGAATACATTAATAACAGCAGTTACAGAGAAATACAAATATTATTTTGGTTTTTCTTTTATGAAATAAATAAGATAGTAATTTCATCCTGAAAAAAAGTGCTAATCAGATCCAGAATATAAAAGAACACAGTGAAAAACAAATTTTGTGGTAGTGTAGCAAACTGTAGAACATTTAAGGGAAAGGAATTTTATCGCTTTTGTATATAACACCTAAATTTTAAAAGACATTTTTAATATATTAAAATTTTGGCAAAGTTTTCTTACTCACAAGCTATTTATTTTAATGAAATTAATTCATCAAAGTTATTCTGCCAAATATTATATTAATGAAAAACTTGGAGTTGGCTTTTTGTCTGTTAATATAATAAATTGGTTTCAGAGTTATCACTTTACAAAGAGTAATAAAAGGTTATTTTTTCCCATCCATGTAAACTCTAGTGTTTTAATAGAATAATTGTGTTTTCTTCAAGTTGACCAGTGTGATGATTCATTTTGTGTCAACTTGACTGGGCCACAGATACCCAGACACTTGGCCAAAGGTTACTCTGAATGTGTCTGTGAGGGTGTTTCGGGATTAGATTAACATTTAAATAGATAGACTGAGTAAAGCACATTGCTCCTAAAGGTGGGCTTCATCCAATCCATTGAAAACCTGAATAGAACCAAAGGATTAAGAGAGAAAGCACATTGCTCCTAAAGGGTGGGCCTCATCTAATCCACTGAAAACCTGAATAGAACCAAAAGATTAAGAGGGAATTCTTCCTAGATGACTGCATGAGGTGGGACATCATTTATTTTTGTGCAAAATGCACAAAAAGAACTTTCAGACTGGAATTTACAGCATCAGCTCTCCTGGTTCTCAGGCCTTAGGACTCAAACTGGAAGTACACCATTGACTCTTCTGGGCCTCCAGCTTATAGAACTTGGGACTTTTCAGCCTCCATACTGCATTAGCCAATTCCTTATAATAAATCTTTTTCTATAAGTCCTATTGGTTCTGTTTCTCTGGAGAACCCTGATTGATACAACCTCATTATGTGTTTGACTGTAAAAAAATAAAAACAAAGCAATTTTTTAATTACTTTCTATAAGGTTCCTTACAATACTAACAGTAGCTTCTTTGACATTTGTTTTAAAGAATTTTCTTGTTACTTTTACTAAACATACAAGTGTGAAATCTACTCACTGTTGTATTTTAATCAAGCAACCCATTCTGTTAATTTTTTTGATATTGTTTTCTTAATATTGGATTCTAAATTCAGAAGAAACAAAACAAAACAAAAATCAGAGTTTTTCTTACATCTAAAACAACCTTTAAGTTTATCCAAAATCCATGGAAAATCACAAAGATGTGTTCTTTTGTCTTATAAAACAGATGCCAGAAATAGGTGAATTGTGACACACTCAGGGGTTTCCTAATTATGTCAAAACTATTGCAAAAGCTTCATGGAGTCATTAAACAATAATAGATGACAGGCCTTCCCGAAATTAACTTTTCATAACTAAAATATTAATAATGTAAATATTTCAGAAACTTAACTTTGTATTTTGAATATGGTGATTTGTTAATGACCTTGCTATCTATGATATATTTTTTTTATTTTCAAGAGAAACACTGATCGAACCCTTATGAAGGCCTGGCAGAGCATCTCTTACCTGTAATCTCAGCACTTTGGGAGGCTGAGGTGGGCGGATCCCTCGAGCCCAGGAGTTTGAGACCAGCCTGGGTAACATGGTGAAACACAGTCTCCACAAAAAAATACAAAAAATTAGCCAGGCATGGTGGTCAACCTCCTTGTAGTCCAAGTTACTTGGAGGATGAGGTGGGAGCCGTCACCTGAGCCCGGGAAGTCAAAGCTGCAGTGAGCCATGATTGCATTACCGTTCTCCAGAGGCTGCAGTGAGACATGATTGTACCACTGTACTCCAGCCTGAATGACTGAGACCCTGCCTCAAAAATAAAAAAGAAGAAACTTATGAAAATGGTCATCTACTGTACATGTACTAGTAGAGAAAGAGAATTTTACTCTTCTGCCTTCTGATATTATTGGACACTGTAATAAATTAAGCACAGATTTTAGTCTTTATCATCTACAGATAATTTCCATTTTATTCTGATGTTTGCCTAAACACTCTACTGTAAGCAACAGGCCAGCATGTGTGTCTTCAAAAAGCACAATCTCAGAGCTTCATGGAAAGTATTATACTGGGTACTTTTATCCATTATCTCAATTGTGTTCCAAGCTGACATTGCTTAAACAAGCTTCATATTTACCAGTGAACTAAGTCATGTTTCCCAGAAATTAACTCATGTTCTGAAGCAGACAGCCTGTGTTAAAGCAGGATGTTGAACTATTACACTTTCTGTTAAACAAAAATTGAGAAGAATAAGTATTAATTACACATGACAGAAAAAAATTAGGAGCTACAACTTTTGCCATAGATATCATTTGAAGTATCATTCTTGTTATTTAACATTCTATCTTTATGGATATATGAGAAATCCCTTTCATTTTCTTCTTAAGCAATCCCTAACCCTCAATTTGGTAATCTTTAGTTCTGTAAACTAAATAAAAATATTTTAAGTGGTATCTGATTCTCGCTTACCAAGTAGATTTTAGAAACAAATACTATCATTGAGTCTCCTTATGTTTCAGGTTCAATAAGAAAATGGTCTCCTTTTTTATCAGGATGATAGAACAAATCATTTGTGTAGTCAGTCATTTTTTTTAGAATGATTGACATGTGCTCAGTTCTGATGATCCACTTTTAAGAATAGTTTATTTCATATGAGGACCCAATGCTCACAATATCTTCCCAGAGAGACTGCCCTGATATCTAACTTATAGAATCCCAGCTTCATGAACCTTAAGGGAAGTTATATTTTAGCAGGCTATAGATCCTTAAAAATCTGGGAGACCTCAAGAATAAACTCACTGAAATGTACAAGCCTTTCAGGTAAAATATGGTGAAGAAAGCTTCTTGGGCTTGTTTTACTAGCCAAGGGTTAGAAGAGCAAATAGTGGAGACAATCAAAAGTACATTCTCATTTTCCTTTTGTTTTAATATCTTTATTAATATAATTACTATAGCACAAATTCAGTTTTTTAAAGTGCACAATTTCATGGTTTTAGAATATTCACATAATTTTGTAACCATGGACACAGTCTAAATTTACAGCATTTCATCACCTGAAAAAGAGGCCCCATAACCCAATAACATCGCTTTCTATCTCTTCTTCACTCCCAGCTCTAGGCAACTATTAATCTGCTTTCTGTCTTTATAAACTTGTTAATTCTGGAAATTTCACATAAATTATATTATAAAGAATGTAGCCTTTTCTGACTGAATTCTTTCCCTTAGCATAATGTTTTCAAGATTCATCTATGATGTAGTACATATCAGTATTTCATCCTTTTTAACTGTGGAATAATATTCCATTGTGTGTATATGATATATTGTGTTTATACAATCATCAGCTTAAGGACAATTGGGTTGTCTGGTACCATTTATAGTAAAACATTGTTGATTTTGATGAAGTCCTTTTTAAAAAGGAATTTGTTACCTGTTCTTTAGGTGTCATATCTGAGAAAACATTACTTAACTCAAGGTCACAAAAGTTTATTCCCGTGTTATCTTCCAATAGTTGTATAGTTTCTTAGATATTACATCTAGTTTTGTGATAGATTTTGAATTAAATTGTTTTTTTAAAAAATTAAATTTTGTGACTTTGGTGAGATAGTTTAAACCTTATTCTTTAGCATTTGGTTTTTCAGTTGTGCCACCATCATTTGTTGAAAATTCAATTTTTCCCCATTGAGTTTTATTGGCATCTTTGTCAAAAATAAATTGATCATAAATGTAAGGGTTTATTTCTGACCTCTTGATTCTGTTCCATTGGTCTATATGCCTCTACTTGTAACAGTACCACACTGACAGAATAAGGTAGCTTTGTATTAAGGTATGAAATTAGAAAGATTGCCCTGACTATTCTGGACAACTGTATTTCTGTGAGAGTTTTAGAATCAATTTGTCCATTTCTGTAAAAAAAAAAAAATACAAGTCATCCAGGATTTTGATGGTGATTTTATTAAATGCATAGGTTAATTTGAGGATTATTACTATCTTAAAAATATTAACTATTCTGATCCCTGAACATGGGGCAACTTTCTATTTCTTTAAGCCTTTGGAGTTTTTATCTGCTAAATTCAATATCTGCCCCACTTAATAAGCAGTGTCTATGGCCTTCATCTTTCCCATGTGTAGGTCCTACTTTACTTTTTTTTGTTAACATGTCTGATATTTTCTTCTTGAAAATTGAATGTTTTACATATTTCACAACTCTGAATGATTCCCTTTATCCCCTTTTCTGCAGGGTTGATATTGCTGGCTTTACTGCCTGGTCATTTTTATTTGTTCAGTGACTTGGTGGAAGAAACCCTCTAAAATCAAGTTCTTCCACAGTATAAACCCTCCATTGCTCTTTCTTAGATTTCTTTTCTATATTTTGGGGTTTTAGCCCTGGAACAGCATAAACCACCTACTAGTCAATGATTGTCATGCTTTAGCTCCCTTAAAAAGTTAGATTTTGACACTTTTCCATTGGATGTGTGATAGTTTGGAGGCTGCCAATGCAGTTCAGGAAGTATTTTATTTTCTCTCTATTTTTAGCAAGCGAATTTTGTTTTTCTAGGCTCTTCAGAGACACAAAACCTACAGGATAGATACGTGGATGGATCGATAGATACATAGATTAGAAGAGATTTATTAAGAGAATTGGCTCATAAAATTATGTAGATTGTGAAATCCCAAGATAGGCTGTTGGCAAGATGGAAGCCCAGGGAAGCCTGTAGCATGGTTCAGTACAAGCCCGAAAGCCTGAGAACCAGGAAAGCTGATGCTGTAATTATCAGTATGGGGCCAAACACCTGAGAACCATGGCAATCTGTTAGTACAAGTTTCAGAATCCAAGGCCAGAGACCTCAGAGTTCTAATAGCCAAAGGCAGAAGAAGGATGTCCCCGTTCCAAGAGAGAGTGCAAATTCACCTTTTCTCTGCCTTTATTTTTTATTCCCACCAATTAAATAGTTCTCCCCTAACCCCATTGATGGTGGGTCTTCCCCACTCAGTCCACTGACTCAGATTCTCATATGCCAATCTCCTCTGAAAACACCCTGACAGACAAACCTAGAAATAATGTTATTTAGATATCCCTTAATCCAGACAAATTGACACCTAAAATTAATAATCACAAGACCCGTAGAGTGAATTTGTCTTCTCTGATTTCCTCTCTGATACTCCCCAGGGGAGGATTCAGCCTTCGTCATTTACACAGGCTTCCAGGCTTCAGGGATGTGTGCAATTTTTAAGTCAGGCTTCCTAGGAGTTGCCCCTGGGTCAGAGTATCTTACTGTTCACCATTTGGTCATGTTGTGCTTAAACCCCTAGTGCTAGTGGGTCTTCTACCCTTTGTTGATGGATCTGTGGGCAGCTAAGGGACTGTTTTTAAGTATATCCATATCCTGCTCAGATTGCTCTTGAGTAAGTACATAGGTAGATAGTCTTTTCAAACCCCAGTGTTGTTTCTGATTATGAAAGGGCTCTTCTTGGCTATCTCTCTTCTTAATAATCTCAAAGTAAACCTATGTCTTCTTTTCAAACCTGTTTCTATTTCTGCTGCTTCTACTGCCCAATCCTGCTTACTTCCCTTTTTTCAACAGGTTAATAGAAAATCCAATATAATATCGGTTTCTGAGAGTTTCACCAGCAACACACTTATTGTTCATCTCTATTTATGCACATTTCCTTTTTTGTTGTTGTAGCTGCAAGTCTGTTAGCGCAACAAAAGAATAAAATAAGTCTATTTCAATTTACATAAGTGAGAGCTAACTAGATAAAGAATGTGGACATCATCAAATTAGGAAAACATGAAAAAATGTTAAAGAACATAATATCTTTAAACTGTCATATTTTATATAATCTATCACTCAATACCTAATATATCTGTGCCTACATCTAGAGTTAGAGAAGCAGACAGGGAGATATTTAATAAATTAATAAACATCCATTTATATATCATGGCATTCAGTTGGCGCTCATATTTGTTAAACAGAGCTTCCAGGACACTTACAATATACAAGTTCTAGCTTTTACTATTTTGTTGTAATTATTTGTAGAACTCTGACTTATTTGATCATAATATAGATACGAGGATATGTTTGGTTTATTTTTATATTTTCAAGCACTGACCAAATTAGTAAAGTTCATGGTGATAGTATAATGCATTTTGTTAAATAAATGATACATGAATAATGAATTTATTATCTGTGATTGCTAGTCAATGTTTTTATTTTTCATAACATATTTGGTATTTTCATTAAAAATACTTCAGCTATGATGAAATTACAGAAACTATCAATATTTTATTGAGACAAACAGTATTAGCTGGACTATAGGGTATGTGAGGCTTTTCTTTGTTTTGTTTTTTGTTTTTTTTAATGGTGAAATACTAGTAAATTACATGCCTACTGGCAGGTTAAGAATCCCAGAGTATTTCTGTCAATGACAGTCAATATATTTAATTAGATAGCTAATAAACTACCTTGAGTATATTTATTTTTAAAGAACTACTTCCACCACACAATAAAAGTAAAATCCTGAGGACTTAATTATAAAATAGCATCATGTATTTCAGAAAAATAATATTTTCCAACTCATATACAACCTGATTTATTCTTAATCCTTTTATCCAGTTTCTGATATTTGCTTTTTTCAAATGTTATTTTTTCTATTCACTCTCTATAGAGAATTAACTTGTCTTAAAACCTGACTTTAAACTTGAAAATGGTAACTGTTTAGTACAATTCCATATTTTCAAGTGTGTAAGAAATAAAAAAATATTTTACAGAAGATGTATTTGCCTATCACTTGCTTGTTAAAATTTCTTGATAAAAACTTTTACTCATAAGTGTATATAATAAATTAACCTAAATAATGAATAATGAGTTTTTCTTAATTTTTAAAAAAATTCCAGAATATAAAAATTAAAACATGAAAACACAAAGTTTCACCATATTAACAATTATGACTACATAAACTAAAACAATGTCAATAATTTTAAACAGGATGTAATCACTGTACATTCTTGCTATGAATTCAATATCAATAAATATTACTTTGATATGTCAAAATTTTACCATTTTAGCCAACTTTAAGGCATTCTAATGCCCGTTTTATTTGAGGGCTAAAAAATTAATTTTCAGAATTTGCATCATTTTTTTCTATCATTGATGTATTACACTAAAGGATGCATATGAGAGACCTAAGTCGAACTGGCATGAGGATCACCACAGTCATCTCAAAAGTGACAGAGTCGATGTACTTGGTGAAATATGGTAAGAGGATCCCAGAGTTCCTGTCTACAAAATTAATGAAGGGAAATCACAGGCACATTATGAAAATATAGGCAATTGATTCTGCAATTTCTAGAAATATCCATGTAATATTTTTCAGTAATTAGAAATTACAAATACCACAAAAAGAAATTAAAATGTGACTTCCACAATACTTTTATGTAATAAGATACATTTTTAATTTTAATAAATGTCTGTTCTTTCTCATAAAATGAAGATTTAGACTTCAAAATTATTGCCCTATGTATTGTATTATTCAGTTTGATTCTCTCCAGGCCTAGAGATGAAAAATTGTAGATAATATGCACAAATTTTCATGCGTCAACTCATTTGGTGAAAGTATAATCCTAATGAGGCCACAATAGTACAAAGAATCTAAAAGCTCAGGCAGAATCTTAATAGCTAAAGTTTTGTACGCTAGATTCTGCCTTAAGTGCTTTGCATAAATAATTTATGTATAGTTACAACAAACATATTAGGTAGGTATTATTATCAACATTTTAGACATGAAGAAACTGAGGCATAACTTTACATAAATTACCATTATTGTCGTTCACATAGTTTGTAGTAATATCCTGTGTTCTTAATCACAACATTATAATCATGCTTAATTTATGTGAAGCTCTGCTGCCATTAGACGATGAAACAAGTGACATCCCTTGAAACGTTTAAAACAAAGTCTAAGTTGCTTAGCATTGTATCTTTCCAATTAGAAGCAAAAATAATTTAAAGGAGATATATTTACACCTTAATCAAAGTTTGATTTAAATACACATTCTGACTTTAATCATATAAAATCCAAATCTATAACCTTAGGATCTGGTAGAAAACATTTGTGTATATACATTAGATAAAATATATGTAGTTCTAAAAATATTTATTAAATAATATTATTAAATATATGCACACACATCTAATTGGAAAGACAATACAGCTCATAAATTTATAAAAAATATATGGAAAGAATCTATCTTTACAAAAACACAGTGACATCATCTGTGTGGTTAGAGAATACTTTTAGCATTCTATTCCAAAAAATTTCAGATGAGTTAGTGCATTGCTTTTAAAATAAACTTTTATAACTCAACCTTGTAATTTTTGTTTCCAACTACACCTTGCTCAAATATTAGCAGTGACAACTGCTATGAGTCATTATATAAAAAATAAACTCATGCTGGTGGAATAAATAAATTATTAGCAATATGTTACAGAATCTATAATGGCTTAGAATTGCATTTTGTCAATTAGGCTTGAAAGGTAGAGAAATATTCATTAATTCTTGTGAATATTTCTAAGGCAAATGGAAGGAATTAGAGGAAAATCTAAATATTTGTGACATCCGTTCTTTTATGAAAATGTAGTAACAGATATTTCACTCTATGGTCATCATAGTTTACCTTAATACTATAAATAAAATAGCAGTAGATAATTTAGAAACCTACTACTGTGGTCATTATAGATCTCAACAGATAATAAAGTCCATGATAAAAGACCATGAAGATGAGAACATGTTGCCTAGCAGTGTAGATTGATTGAGCAAATGGGCTCTGGGACCCTAAATTCTAGTTATGAATCCTGACTCTGTCACATGATAGCTGTGGGGCCTGGTTCAGTACCTTTTTGTAACTAAGCAAAGAAAAATAACTCATCACATAGATTGGCTTTCAGAATTAAATGAGCATTTAGAACAATGTTTAATGCCTTAAAATTGTTATCTATTAATATTCTTAGTTATTTACATATATATTTTAAGATAATTTTGGTTTTATGTAAATAGAAAGGTCTAAAAATATCTTTCCTCATTGAACTAAACATTTTGAAGTATATAAACATTTTTTGAGTTCAGATATATTCAACAGCCCATATTGAAGTTAAAATTTATATCTTGGATATGATACATATGTAAATATCTTATTGCATTGCAAAGAGAGTGTCTTAATTCTGTGGAACAAAGTAAGAATTGTACCTGAAATATACAACACCAGAGACACCAATTCTTTATCTCATCTAAGTCCTCTGTTGTTGAATTACATCACAATAAAAATACTGTTAAAATATCTTATTTTATAAAGTCATCAATTATAGAAACTGCATAACCTACACAATGACAAAGTTAGAAATGTTAATTGTATGCTCTCATCTAGCCTCATTATTATCTTTGTCTTCAGAATAAGTTAATTTTGTGCATTTTTTTCTTCTCATTATAATGCTTGTCATAGGAGAGAAGAATTAGAATCACAATAATGAACAACAGAGTTTAGCATTATGGTACTGTTATTGGTAACTTTGGTAATACTTCATGTTTGTACTTGATTTTCTTGCAATGTTATTGTGCCTATCAAATTAACAAAGCTGTGAATATGAACTCAAACATGATACCATTGCAAAGAAATATCTTTCTATTCTCTTGCTTTTTTTAGCTTACATTAAAGAGCTCAAAGTATCATTAATGAAAAGCTTCCACAAGAATCACATAAGCAAGATGGTAGAATAGAAGGTCTCTGGCATTAGTAACCCTCACAGAAAAAATCAACTAGCAATTTTCCACAGACAAGAATGTCTAGGTGAAAATCCCAGAATTCAGGGGTGAGGTTTATTCATACCCTGGGACCAAAAACCCATGAAAATCCCATTAGAAGGGTAGCATGAATGGTTTTACAAAAGTATAACAATGGAAATACTATGGCAATGGCAAAAAGTCATACACATAGACCAGTGGAGCTGAATCAAGAGCCCATAAACATGAACATATGTGATCAAATGGTGTATAACAAGAGTAATAAAAATAAATAATAAATAATGCTGAGAAAAACTGTATGTTCACATGCAAAAGAATGAAATGTTAACCCCATCTGAAACCACTCAAAAAAATTAACCTGAAATGAATTAAAGACCTAAAGTAAGTCCTGAAACTATAACTACGAGAAAAAAATGTAGGGAAAATACTCCTGAACGTTGGTCTTAACAATATTTTTTTTCACTGAGACCAAAAGCATAGACAACAAAAGCAAAAATAAATGAGAGACTACAACAAACTAAGAAGTAAAACATTACATTATATCCAATAAATATGTACATTTACTGTGTGTCAATTCAAAAAAGAGACAGAGGAAAAAAAGCTGTATAGCAAAGGAAACAATCAACCAAATGAAAAGACATCCTATGGGCTGGGAGACAATATTTGCAAACCATATATCTGATAAGTGGTAAATATCCAAAATACATCAGGAACACATACAACTCAATAGCAAAAAATAATAATCATATTTTTTAAAGGCAAAGAATCTGAATAGACATTTTTTCTTAAAAAAAATCATTAAAATTGCCAACAGGTACATGGAAAGTTGCTGAACTAATCATCAGGGAAGAGCAAATCAAAACCATAATGAGATATAATCTCACACCTACTAGGTTGGGTATTATCCAAAAAGATAAGAGATAAAAACTTCCGGCAAGAATGTGAAATAAAGGGAACATTTATGCACTGTTGGTGGGAATGTAAACTGGTACAGTTATGATGGAAAACAGCATGAAAGTTCCTCAAAAAAAAAAAAAACAATGGAACTACCACATGATCCAACAATCCTACTTCTAGATATATATCCAAAGAAAATGATATGAGTATGTCAAGACATAGCTGCATTCCCATTGCAGCTCTATTCAAAACAGCCAAGACATGGAAACAATGTAGGTACCCAATGAGGGATGAATGGATAAAGAAAATGTGGCATGTACATTCAATAAAATATTATTCAGACTTAAGGAAGGAGGAGATCCTGCCATTTTAAAAAACATGAATGAAACTTCAGAGTATTATGGTAAGAGAAGTGAGAGAGGATGACAAATGCTACACGATAATACGTGTGGAAGCTAAAAAAAGTCAAACTCATAAAAACAGAGTAGAACAGTGTTTGCCAGTTGTCAGAGATGTAAGAAATGAGGAAATGTTAGTCAAAGGGTACAAACTTTCAGTTATAATATGGATAAGTTCTGAGGATCTAATGTACAGCATGAAGACTAAAGTTAATACCATATTGTACACTTGAAATTTGCTAATAAAGTGGATCTTAAATGTTCTTGCCACACAAAATAAAAAATATGGCAACTATGTGAGGTGATGGATGTGCTAAATTGCTTGGTTGTGGTATTAATTTCACAATGTCTATGTATATCAAACCATCACTTTTGCATATTTTATTTTTTATTGAGACCAAAAGCATAGACAACAGAAGCAAAAATAAACAAGACAGACTACATCAAACTAAGAAATCAATTTATTTGTCAATTATACCTCAAGAAAGAGTGAAGAAATAAAACATACATAATTTTAAAAAAACAATATTTTTAAAATTTTTGTGAAATGCTAAAATTAAAAAAAACGCATATATTTATTTTAACTACTATAAAGAACATTTTGATATGGGAGCAGGGTAGGGATGTGCTGGGTAGAGAAGGGCGGGGTCCCTGAAGGGGACTCCACCCTCGGGCCTGTGCCCACAGACCTAAGTGAATTAAACCATTTCTGTTTTCACACCCAAAAAGTTGCCTTCTGGCCCACCACACCCACCATCTCGTGCCCATCTAAACCCGAGACCTTAAGCAGACACACACACAAGCGTCTGGACGTCTAGAGGAACACACCAGCAGAAGAGCACACCGACAGACACAGGCAGGCCATCCACAGCGGAATGTCACGGATGCCAAGGGGAATTCAGTTGGAGGAGAGTCCGGATGCTGGGGGGCCCGACTCCAGGGGAAGATCACCTCCTCACTCCATCCCCCTTCTGGCCTCCCCATCCACCTCACTGAAAGCTACCTCCGCTCAATAAAACCTTGCACCCATCCTCCAAGCCCACGTGTGATCTGATTTTTCTGGTACACCACAGCAAGAACCCGGGATACAGAAAGCCCTCTGTCCTTGGGATAAGGCAGAGGGTCTAATTGAGCTGATTAACACAAGCTGCCTGCAGACAGCAAAACAGAAAGAGCACACTGTAACACATGCCCACTGGGGCTTCTGAAGCTGCAAACACTCAACCCTAGAGGCTGACACGGGGTCGGAGCCCCATGACCTGCTCCTCTGCATGCTCCCCCTAGGGGTTTGAGTAGCAGGGCACCAAATAAGCCAGTCATTTCACGTCCCTGTCACAAGCCCTGTGAGGGGGATAAGGGAACTTTTCCCACTTCAGTTTGGCTTAAAATGTATTGCAAAAAGATAAGGATTGACTCCCATATTTGGAAACGCATCCAAGTATCTCTATCTAATATTACTGTTTCCAAAGCAAAATAATAATAACATCACCATTATTTTATGTTTCTTAATAAAAACATAATAAAAGATAATTGAATAATACTATCCAAATTATGGTGTAAGGGCACATACCATACTGAAATGTAACAGCTTCACCGCGTGTACTTTTTCTAAATTTCTTATCCTTATACCCCTCAATAAACCTCAGGTAAAACAACACAAAAAATATTAACAATGGAATGATCAAAGAATAATACATGCCACAATTCCAGTTAAAAATATTATAGAGAAAAATGCTAATTTTACATGCGACAGAAGCAAAATGCAGCAGCAGTCCTCTGATTTTATAACATTAGTTATTGTTTTCAACTAAAACCTACTCAATCTTTAATTATCAGTTAGGTCAGTTAAGTGCCCCAGGGATCTGAACAAGTTGATTTCAATCCCTTATGTGGCTTAACGCTTTATATAGAAAGGTACTTGTCATATCCTGAATCGGAGTCAATGTGTGTGAAATTGCTTTCAGTGTATCACAAGAAAGACTTTATTACTACAATTTTGAAACCATTAAGTACATTTAACATCTTCTTTTTCACTCTTCAATTCACTTTAGGTAAAGTTTATTTCTAAACATATGAGAATAATCCAAAAACAAAAATGTAAGATTATTTATCTTTTGTAATAATCAATTAACATTTTGGAAAACATGTTGTAAGTAGATATTGTTAAATTAATTACAAAAGTAATGAATTAGAAAAATAAAACATTTACTGACTTTTCCCAGATCTTGTTTTCTAGATCTAAATTCTACCCCAGGCTATTTATGTAGAAACTTCAATTCAAATTAGTGATGGTTACAGATGGATATCTAATGGGAGAATTTTGCCTCCGGTCTCTTCAAGCATGGTACTTTTAAAGAAAGCTTCTAACAATGCAAGTGATGCTCATTAACTAATTAGTGTACAGAAATTGAACAGAGACCCTGACCTTATTTGGTTGAATTGAGTTATAACCTCAAACAGAACATCAATAAACCCTTCATGGTAGACAAAAATATAGAAGTAGAAAAAAATTCCACTAAAACATGTCATTAAAAAGCTGTGGTTTTATTATGCCTTATTTTTTACAAACATGACTTTAAGACATTTATTCTAGGTCTCATTTTTACTTTGTACATGTAAAAACAATAATGGATTTTTTCCAGTTCAGCATACCTGTTAATGATTTTACAAACAATCATTAATCAACAGCATTGCCAGAGGGGACAGAAGTTATATTAACACTGTTATATCATTATCTTTATGTTCATAACTTCACTGGCTTAAACAGAGTATTTCTGTTTTATTACACGCCTAAAGAATCATATTCTCAGCAATTGCACATAAGTCCCCAAATCCCTGCTTTCTCTCCTTTTAGTTAGGAAAGGAGGGACTCACATGTCCTCATCTCTAAAAAGTGTATATTTTAAATTCTTTTGTGACTCAATAAGACTAGCTTCTAGTACATATCAAATATCTTATGAGAATGTCTGATGACTATCAATAGTACCCCAGAGTGTATGATTAAAACAAATAAATTATATTTCATCATCATGTCTCTGACCCAAAGTGATGTTGAAATAAAAATATTTCTTTTGTTTTAATCATAAGTATAATTACTATTCTTTAACCTCTGATATATATACACATATATGTGTATATATATTATCTCTTCAACTACAACTCCTGTATATATATGAATATAACTATTATTTAACATCTGATATATATATGTATGTATATATATATCAGTAGATACAGAAAATTCTATAGAAAGAGACAAATCCATAGAAAGAAAAAATTTTCTTTTAAACACGTTAATGGTAAATTTTGTGAGGGTATAGGACTTTTGTCTCAAATGTCAATTTATTTCAACTGTCATGTAACTCCCATTAAAGTACTTAAGAAAGTTATGAGATCTTCTTTCATTTTTATATAATCATTTTCCTGTGTAAATACATATGACTATTTTTATTTATTCTTGAAATTCAGGAATTTTAGTACTATATATCTGTTTTTTTAAATATTGCCACAGACTTAATGAGTACCTTTCATTTAAAAACTACTATAAAAATTCAACTTAAGGTTATAGTTTTTTGTTATTATTATTATTTTATATTGAGATGGAGTCTCGCTCTGTCACCCAGGCTGGAGTGCAGTGGCGTGATCTTGGCTCACTGCAACCTTCGCCTCCCAGGTTCAGGGGATTCTCCTGCCTCAGCCTCCCAAGAAGCTGGGATTACAGGCACCCACCACCAAGTCCAGCTAATTTTTGTATTTTTAGTAGAGACGGGGTTTCACCATGTTGGCCAAGCTGGTCTTGAACTCCTGATGTCGTGATTCACCTGCCTTGGCCTCCCAAAGTGCTGGGATTACAGATGTGAGCCACTGCTCCCAACCATTATTTTTTTTTAATTACAAACATATCATCTTTGTAAAATAATTATCTTCAAAATCAGTAACACTTTGCATTTTAGGTCTCATCATTTATGTCATAATTTCTCCAACATTTATTATTTGTCATGTGCTACAATCTTCCATATCTCTTATATATTTGTTATAAACAAAGTTTCAGTGCCTCAAAAGAAATAGCACTCGAACATAAAATTTTCTTTTTAATTCTCAGCAAGGCAAGTTACTTCTATAGAAGGGTGCACCCTTACAGAAGGAGCAATGGTGAGTGCACACTTGGATAAGGGAGGGGAAGGAGTTCGTACCCCTGACACAAGTGGCCCCTGCTGCTGTCTCATTCCCCTATTGGCTAGGGTTAGACTGCACAGGCTAAACTAATTCTGATTGGCTAATTTAAAGAGAGTGATGGGGTGAGTGGTTTGGTGGGAAAAATGGTTTTGACAGAGCAGGTAATCAGAATGAGTCAGGTGGAGTAGGTAATCGGAATGAGTCAGGGTGGAGCAGGCAGTAGAAAAAGGTTGCTTTATGAGGAAGTTAAGTTTAAAAGTAGTAGGCAAAGAATTGGACATACTGACATATTGATTATTTGAAAAGAAATTTAGAACTCATATCTAACAACCCCTCTTCTTGCACTGCCTTACAGCTCTTTCTTTTCAAACTTTTTAACATGTCTTGGCTTAGTTGTTCTGCTTGATTTTCCAAAAGAAGCAGCTTCTCTGGTTAAGGTGGAAGATAGTTAAGGGAGGTTTTAGTAAGTGCCGTTTTTATGAGCCTCTGCACCAACCCACGGATGCACAGTGTGACACAGAACCTGACAAGAATAAGTACACCCATTACAGCTGTGAGGGAAGCAAGAACTGAGGCTATTATCCTTTTCCACTTACTGAACCACTTTTCTAGCCATTCTGTAAAGGGGTCATTTACCACTGAGTTGTTGGCTAACTCATTGGACAGAGCAGTCAGACCCTGCAATGCCTTTGTTATACTTCCATCAGGAGCGGTATTGTTGGGATGAAGGTACAACATTGAGTTTTAATCATGATGCAAACTCCTCCTCTTTTTGCTAATATCATGTCTAAGGCTGTCCTATTTTCCCAAGCCATCTGGCTAGTAGCCCCTAATTGCTCAGCACTTCCTTTAACAACATCTCTAGTGTAGTTAATAAATCGCTGTTGGTTGTAGTAGCTGTACTTTACCCAACCTACATTTTTATTAATTGTCACCCACCAAAATATTGACTGAAATCCTGCAGCTATTTGATTTTGGGCTTTAAATTGATCTAGCATTCCCCGTGGGACTCCAGTTGTGTTTAAATAGACGTGAGAGTCAAAAGGCCCATAAGGGGCTTCTCTCGCTTTATGATGTCTTACTTTTCTTTTTCTGGTTGATGAAATGCTAGGGTGAAAGGGATAGCCAATTGGATTAAAGCATAAGTGCTACTTTAGTTACTCGGCAGGCAGAGTGTCCAGTAAAGGTCCACAACAATACCACCACACATCTGCCTGGGGATGAACAATGGCTGACTGATTGATAAGTTCTTGAAAATTCTTAAGCTCACTGCATCCCTTCAGGTCTCCAAGGAATGCTAAGTTTCTTCCCTGTTGTGAGAGACACGAAGTGAACTTAGTGTTGGGAGACGAAAGCTGGATGGCTCTTGGGGGCTGACCCACAGGGTGACGGACTTCGGGATATAGCAGAGAGAGAGTATGACACGACTTGTTACTCCAGGCTTTAGAATCCTGGAAAAGAGCTACCATTACAGCCCATGCTGGTCAACTGGAGGACCACCCTAGTGGAAAGGGGACAATCTGGGCCTCTGGCCTGTTGTGCGCACAAGCATAACAATTGCTTTGTTTAACGTGCGGATGGAATATTTGATCCATTCCAACCAGGCATTTGCATCTTGGTATCCTGTCTTAATAGCCAAAGTTTGTTTTAAATCTTTAACTTCTACAATAGCTATCTTGGTCTTGTCGTTAGATGGAAGAGGAGCAATTGTTCTGTTGTGAGAGGTTTTAGAAGAAGGCTTAGAGGAAGGTGCAGGTGGTGTGGGATCAAATAAATGCATTTCAAAGAATCCAATAGGGTCTGTCCCTGAAACCTTAGCCCCCATACCATAAAATCAGCTTAAAGAAGGGAACTGGCTTGGAAAAGGGGAAGAACTTTGAGGGTTTGAGATAATAACCTGTATAGGATTGCACTGGTCTAGCTGACAGTTGTGGGGGGTGGGGGCGGGGGAAGAGGGCTGTCCCTTTAGTAAAATGAATGTATGCTTTTAGGAGATTACAAAAACCAGTTGGGACAGTCCATCCTTGCTCTTTAGTGGTCCACACAACGTTGGACAAACTACAGCATAAAAGCTCTACATAGGGGAGCAAGACTCCTGGTTGACATTGGGGTCTTTACCAAAATCTCCCCGGATTAAATGGTCCCAATTCACTAATGCCCAGTCTGAGGAGAGTCAGGATGGACAGTGGTACTTTTCTGAAGTAGAGAGCTGTCATTGACTTGGCAAATCCCCACAGGGTATAACAAGGCAAGCATTAAATACAAACAATTTGAGGCAAAATTGACTTGGTTATGTTAATAACTAGATGGTAAGCAACAGAGCGAGGAAAGAAGAGTAATAAAATAGATGAAAGAGAGTTAAATTTTTCTTACCTTTAGTTTGATAAGGTTTTCCCCTGGGACTATGGCCCACAACTCCAGAGGGGGTGGCGCTTTCTTGACTCGGGTGTGATGAGTCCATCCCCTTTTCACTGTAGGAACAGCAGTCTCGGTGGTTAGCAGCACAAGGCAGGGTCCTTCCCAGGCTGGCTCCAGTTTTCCTTCTTTCCACCCTTTGATGAGAATGTGATCCTCAGGCTGGTGCTGGTTTACCAGAAATTCTAGGGGTGGTACCTTACCTGTGCTAAAGACTTTTAGTTTTAAGGGAAAGGAAAGTGGAAGATAAACCAAGTATATAATTTCTAAGAAACTTTTCTTTTGTCTTAAATGTGGGGACATCAACAGTGGACTTTATAGTCCTTGGTGCCTTCTTACTGAGAAATTTCCTTTAGCATCTATTTTTATTAGTTTTTAGACCAAAGAAAGCCAAACACCATTTTATATTTGACAATGCTTTTTGTATGATTTTTATATCAGATAAGCTAAATTTCACCTTTGTATTAGTGTGCTATTAACGTTTAACTCAATTTTAATAAAACCTTGTAGACATATTTATCCAACTTTAACGTCTGAGCATAAGGTAAGATTTTTATAGACTCTTTTTAACCTTTTATAATTTTTGTTAAAGAGCAGGTTAGTGCATTAAGAAACCCATTGTGCTTTTGTTGTAATGTCCAGTTCACAGAAAAACTGGATGATACCCCTTTAACATTAGCCAATATGTTTACACACAGAATTCCCATTTTAAAACTTGCTTAAGCCTTTAAAACAAATATTTTAACCTTTTAATGTAGGTAAAAATTCAAATTTTTATGCCTCTTTAAAACCCTTTTACCAAAAGTATATTTTACTTTCCTTACACACCTTGCACATAAACTGTTTCTTCAATAGTTTTACATTCAGGAGGACTAATTACTTCTAAATGATACACATTTCTTGCATAAATTCCCTTTTATAACTTTTTTTTCACGACTTTCACAATCTTTGACATGCCTCAAACTTCTGACTTGTTGCAAACATCCCTTTCCTTAAACAACCAGTTAATTTATTTTAGGACAAGAATTTACCATATAACATTCTTTTTATATAAATTCTTCCCCTCCTTTTTTTTTTTTTTTTTTTTTTAGTTTTCTCCAAAGTGAACTTCCTTCATGTCTGTGGATTCAATTGCCTAAGGCCACAAGATTAGAAAATAGTATAATACAAGTTACACTGTTAACTTTTAGCAAACTTTACTTTTGTTGAAAACCTTGTAAGTCTGGGATTTCAATTATCCTTTGCTATTAATAAGATCTTGTTTAGTCCAAATTAACTTAGAATTGGTATAGATGGTTCCTTCCTGGTTCTGTAAGTACTTTAATGCTTGGCTGAGTGCAAACAGCTCACACATTTGAGCAGACCAATTATTAGGCAATTTTCCTAACTCCGCTTCTACAAGAGTTACCCTATCAATTACTGAATACCCATTGTGTCTTCTTCCCTCAATCACCCCGGAGGAACCATCTATCATCCTGTCCTGAAGGGAGTTCCTCCTAGGTCTGGTCAGACCTTTGTACGGTAATTAATTAAGATTTAGATCTCCTGTTAAGAAATCTGCTGGGTTAAGGGAATTATCAGTGGTTAATGTTAAATCATCTTTTTCTAACAGAATAGCCCCATACTTTAAGATTTTTGAGTAAGCTACTCTTTTGCTTTTTTTTTTTTTTTTTTTTTTTGACTTAGGATAGTTCTGAACTGGTGAGGTGTGCTCACAATGAGGCTTCCTCTAGAAGTTATTTTTCTACTTTCTTCTGCTAGCAAAGCAATTGCCCCTACAGATTGAATGCATATGGGGCATCCGTGAGTTACTGGGTTAAGGATTTTTATTTATTTATTTATTTATTTAGAGATGGAGTCTTGCTCTGTCACCCAGGCTGAAGTGCAATGGGGTGATCTCAGCACACTTCAAGCTCCCCCTCCCGGGTTCATGCCATTCTCCTGCCTCAGCCTCCCGAGTAGCTGGGACTACAGGCGCCCACCACCACGCCCGGCTAATTTTTTGTATTTTTAGTAGAGATGTGGTTTCACCGTGTCAACCAGGATGGTCTAGATTTCCTGACCTTGTGATCCGCCCACCTCAGCCTCCCAAAGTGCTGGGATTACAGGCATGAACCACCGCACCTGGCCAGGGATTTTTGATAGGAAGGCTGGAGGTTGTCAGTGGCCTCAGTGCCTTTGGGCTACGCCCTTGTTTACACTGACAAGGTAGTATTGGAGTGTTATAGGGTCATGGAGAAGACCTTCAATTATCAATTATAGGTTTTAAATTTACCCTGTCTTTTAAAGGAGTAGGGTACACTGTTTTCTCTTTACTACTTCTAGCTCTCTCTTTCTCTCTTTGACTTTGTCTCTTTCTCGCTCTCTTTGCCTTCCTCTTTGTCTGTCTCTTCCTCTCTCTGCATCTCTTTCTCTCTCTCTCTTTCCCCTCTCTCTCTTCTCTATATCCTCTCTGCTGCTCTTTCCCTGCCTCTGCCAGCCGCTTTGCTGCTGTGCTCCCCTCTCCTTTCCCTTCCCTAGAGGAGGAACTGGTGGGAGTGGAGCTACTCCTTCCTCCCCCGACAAGAAAGGAAGGAGGAGTTCTGAATATTTTTCTTACTACTGGAGGTTTGTGTGAGGTTCAACCCCCCAAAGGGGATTTCTCACCTCTTTTTGAGGTTCAACCCTTCTCATGGGGACTGCTCACCTCTTTTTCAGATTCAACCCCCCTCCCCGCCCCCCGCATGGGGATTTCTCATCTCTTTTTGAGGTTCAACCCCCACTCTTGGGGATTTCTCACGTCTTTCTGAGGTTCACCCTCCCCTCATGGGGATTTCTCACCTCTTTTTAACCTCCAAGACATCCCGACTAAGGAATACTTCACCGCCCCCATGGCTTTCTTTCCCTAGTCCAGCCTAAGGAATGCTTTACCGCCCCTGCAGTTTCTCTCTCCTTGGTATGTCCTAACCAAGGAAGGCTTTACCGCCCCGAAGCTTTGTCCTTAGTCCCGACCACCAAAGAAATACTTTACCAGCTCCCGCGGCTTCTCCTTCCTTGGTCTGCGCACAGAGCCATTGCCACAGTATGTGAGAATCCTTTAAGCTAGGTTGCTGGCCAGTTTATTGCCGTGTTGCTGAGAGCTGGGGCTATTCCTTGCGCTGGGTGGGTCCTGATTTCTCACCCCTGAGGCCGCCACAAGGGGGCGGGGCACTCCGCCTCACGAGAGAGAACCAGAGACTGTCCCCGGAGGGGAATGTAATCACAGGCAAGCCCCCAAATTGTTGTAAATAAAGTTTCGGTGCTGCAAAAGAAATAGTCTCGAATATAAAATTTTATTTTTAATTCTCAGCAAGGCAAGTTACTTCTATAGAAGGGTGCACCCTTACGGATGGAGCAATGGTGAGCGCACACTTGGGCAAGGGAGGGGAAGGGGTTCTTATTCCTGCTGCACATGGTCCCTGCTGCTGTGTCATTCCCCTATTGGCTAGGTTAAGACCGCACAGGCTAAACTAATTCTGATTGGCTAATTTAAAGAGACTGAGGGGGTGAGTGGTTTAGCGGAAAAAATGGTTATGACAGAGCAGGTAATTGGAATGAGTCAGGGTGGAGCAGGTAATCGAAAAAGGTTGCTTTACAAGGAAGTTAAGTTTAAAAGTAGAAGGCAAATAACTGAACATACTAACATATTGATTCTTTGAAAAGAAATTTAGAACTCATATGTAACATATTTAATGATGATACTGGTTTTTATTTCCCATTGTACTTTTTGTTTTTCTGTAAGGTGTGTGATATTTTCTCCATTTGAACTTTAAATCACAAATAGAGTTCTTGGTAATGTCTAATATTTTTAGTTTAAAAATCTTGTTTTAAATTTTTAAGATCTCTGCTGTTGTCATTCTTATGATATTGAATCTATTTAAGTGCATATGTTTTGTTGCTGTTGTTGTTGATCTGGTTTTCTTTTTTTTTTTCCCTAGTGTCAGAGGTATTGATTTCATTCCCTTACATGCTATAGCAACCACCTAAAGGGAACTCTTGGTTAGTTCTCTCCCTTTCATATACAGGGAAGTGATTTATAAAAAGTTTCCTAAACTGAACCTTCCCTAGCGTTAGCCACATGAGAAAATACCTAGAGCAATGAACAGAAAGAAGACTGTAACATGTTTTCCTTAGTAGCTGAAGAAACCTAATTGGCTCTCACAATGAGATATTCAAGAAATTCAAGGAATTCTCTTAAGACTCCATCAGTGTTTGCCACATTTCCTACTGAATGAGAAACCCCAAGATACTGGAAGTGAAGGGAAAATCATGGACCTCACAAAATTACGAGAAGTTGTTTGCTTTGAGAATTTTTTCCTATAAGATAGATTTAGATAGATCTTTGCAATGGACATTTTTCATTTGAGTCAATAACCCAAAACTGAAACCACCTGTATATCTTCCCACCTTATGAAATTTATAGGAGAGGAAAAACCACCTCTCCTTAAAAATACTGAGAATAGGCCGGGTGTACTGAGAATAGGCCGGCTCATGGCTGTAATCCCAGCACTATGGGAGGCCAAGGCAGGTGGATCACCTGAGGCCAGAAGTTCGAGATCAATCTGGTCAACATGGTAAAACCGCCCGTCTCTACTAATAATACAAAAATTAGCTGGGCATGGCAGTGCATGCCTGTAACCCCAGCTACTCCAGAGGCTGAGGCAGGAGAATCACTTGAACGGGGAGGCAGAGGTTGCAGTGAGCCGAGATCCTGCCACTGCACTCCAGCCTGGGCGACAAGAGTGAAACTCCATCTCAAAAAAAAAAACATAAAAAAGTATGTGAGCATACTGGGTTTAAAATTTATAACAATTAGATTAATGTACCTGATGATAGGATGAGTAAAGAAATTGGAAATCTTGAGATCCATATAGAGAAAAGTAACCAAGTAGCATGAGTTAGGCTTAAGTCTGAATTAAACCTTACAGTATGAGGTCAGGGCACAGTGAAGGATTTGGTTAATAAGGAAGGGATCAGATTAAATTAAAGCATTTTTAGGTGAAAACAAAAAAGCTGATATTGGCAAATACTAATTATTGGCCAAATAAATTATTACAAAATAATATTTAAATATATATAAGTGCTTGATAAAAAGTCAGGATCACAATTTTGAAGCTAATCACAAGGATATGGCCTTGAATAGCTCACTAAATGTTGTAGAAAATGTAATAACTCATTTTACAATAGTTTTTCATTGTTATATTTAATCCACATAACAATTCTGATAGGTATTATTCTGATTTTACTAACAAGAAAAGCACAGTTAGTTACAGGCCTAAAGTAACCTGGTTACAGCTGTTGTGCCCTGCACTAGCTGATTCTAAAGTTTTTACTTTGGGTATATACTTAATGGCTTTTTTCCTTTTTGTATAGCTTTATTAAACTCACTAGTTTGATAGGTCCATATCAAGGGTGTTGCCAACAAATGCTGCAGGTCAAAATGGAGTCTAATAAATGATGACTCAATGATTATATATAGGAGATTGCAGGAAAGTATTCTGCTACAAGCACTGATGAAAAGGCCTGAATACAATGTAGTTACAAAGAAAAATCTCTTATTTGAAAAATGATTTCCAAGCTTTTTCATCTGTGACTGTTTAGAAAGATTTTAAGTGATATTACCATGTCTTTATTTGTCAGTTAGGAAAATAAAGTGAAAAAGAAGAAATAAACTATTATACTTTGTGTGCATGCTCTAATAGAAACAAATGTATATTATGCCATGACTGAGTGAATATTAATGATAAAAGAATGCAGTCATTATTGCAAGAATTGGTTAATGATTTTGAGAATGAAAGTTTGGCTTTATATAGAGATTTTTATTTTAAATCAATAAATTTAACCAAACCTTTTTCTGTCTCAGAATAATTGTGCCTCTGGAACCATGATGCTGCCACAAAGTGGGAATCAATATTTACTACTATGATTTGTGGCTTATAATAGCAATGATTATTATGAGTTTCAGTCTATTAATAATATAAGGCTTTTCCTATCATGAATATTAAACAAATAGTATGTAAAAATTCAGAAAGTACTTTCATAGAGGAGAAAATCAATACCAGCAATTATTGGGGGTTGGGTATAAGGCAATTTTATTGGTCTGTTCTCACATTGCTATAACAAATTACCTGAGCCTGGGAGGTCTATTTAAAAAAAGAAGTTTAATTAGCTCATGATTCTGCAGGCTGTATAGGAATCATGGCTTGAGGAGGCCTCAGGAAACTTAAAATCATGGTGGAAGGCAAAGGGGAGGCCCATACGTGCTACATGGCTTGAGCAGGAGGAAGAGAGAGTGAAGAGGATAATGCTACACACTTTTAAGCAAACAGATTTCATGAGAATTCCATCACAAGAACAGCAAGGGGGAACTTTGCCCGCATGATTAAACCACTTTCCACCAGGCCCCTCCTTCAACACGTGGGGATTACAATTCAGCTTGAGATTTGGGTGGGGACACAGGGCCAAACCATAGCAACAGCTCCCTAAAGCAGAACAGCCTATTAGGAAAAGTCTGAGTCAAAGGCAAGAGGAGAATGTTCAGGTAGATGAGCAGTATTCAGTATAGAAAATCATCAATAAACTTTAATGGCTAAAATGTTGGTTCAATCTTCATATTAGAGACAGAGGGAGAAAAAGTTACATTGACTAAAATTTAAAAGGCAGCACCCCAGTAGGAATCTAGACACAGACTTACCATAAATATTGTGTAAGTAGAAGTTTGAGCACAAGGATCCAGTTAGTTGATTTGGGGTATAATTTTGCAGTAGAAATAGTACAAAGTTTGTCTTATAGCAGAATAGATTTGATTAAATCATAACGATAGTCATGACTTCATGTTTATCAAGTAAGATAATTAGGGGTCTATAATTAGGAGACAAAAGGTTATATATAGTTTAATAATTCTAATAACCTAATTCTGACTATTTAAATTTTAGAGTCTAGAAATAATAGCCACAGTCAATCACTAAGGAAATATTCATACACGTATAAATGGACAAAAGTAGACTAGGATGAAGTTTTTTTTTATTCTAATAAAAATATTATTATTGCACTTTTCAATCTTGGATTTTGTGGCACCCACACAACACTCATAAATGTGATTAAATGCCAGCTAGTGATGATGACTGAGTTTACAACTATAAATAAGACGTGATATTACCTGCATTATTGTTTCCTCAATCTGGATGTGCATATATAAAACATCAGTATTTTGTGTGTGTCATTTAATCTGAGATCAATCTATTTTCATCACTTAACATAGCCTTTACAATGTAACAGATAATAAAGACAGAACTATTTAAACATTAAAAAATAATGACATGATCATTCAATCATCTAGGCTTGTATGTTGATACCATAAGATTCTATGAATAGATGGAAAAATCTAAAGTTTAAAATTTTACACTGTCTTGCGTAAAGCTCCTTTGGTTTTTATTTAATCATTCTTTTTGTACCTACTGAAACAAGTGACTGTCTTCTTGTGAAAAATCTTCTACATTCAGGAAAACTTTTATTATTAAAATGTTTTCAGATCTATTGAATAAGTTATATAATAACATGAAATTCTATTTTATCTGTTAAGAAAAATCCTACTATCTTTCTTATATTATGCTTTTAAAATTTTTTGTTTTCAAATTTTATTGTCTCTATATACAAATAAAGCTAAAAGAGACTATAAGTGGCACATCATTCTTTTATCTTCTGGATTTTGCTTATTGTTTTAACACCTGGATAACAAAATACTTATTTATGTTCTAGAAGGATAAAGTCACTTCACTGTTTTATTCCTCTTGCTTTTCCCAAATTAACATTTTGTTTACGATGATTTAGTCTGTGCTCTTAGGACATGTTTATGGCACTGGACTTTAGCTAGACTTACACAAGATTGACAGAGAGTATTGTCATTTAACATGGACTTTAATGACTAGATAGATTGGTGGCACTTGCATATTGTGTTTTCTTTCCAATAGATATCAACATTGATTTATGGATGATTCCATTGAAACTACTTTAGTAACTGAATATGATGCCTGACAAGAGAATCTTGTGTATCAGTACACTAGAACAGTCTACCTTGAACAGGATGATACATTATTTATACTTCACTCTCTGAGCTTCTCTAGGGAGACTCTGTATTTTTCTGTTCAGTTTTCCAATTCTTCCATTGATTTTGGCAGGACCAGGATACTCAGCTTAAAAATAGATCATGTTAACGATTTAATTTTTTAAAATCTTTGACACAAATCAAGAGTTGAGAACTCTTACCTTTGGCAATAAAATCAGGTAATATTGCAGAAGCATGGTATGATACAATGACATTTAAACCTTGTGTATATAAAAACCACCCACGAGGCTTATTAATACTTGTGCCATATATAGAGATTGTGATTCAGATGGTTGTGTTAAGTTGAGGAATGTGGATTTTAACATAAATTCCCAGAGGACTTTTATGCAGGCTGCTGAAACAGTACTTTATAGAAAGCTAGCACACTAGATTAAGCAGAAGGCTACTTGGTTAGTCAAACCCAGATTTCATCTTACCTTAAGGATTTTCAAATATTATTGGATTGCTGTGAGGTCTAAAAGCTTGCTATAAATGTTCAAAAAATGTTATTTCTTTCCATTAGCTAGTATTTTGTTTAATTCAGGGAACACATTTTAGTGTTGATTGCTTAAAGTGAAGTTCCTTTCACTGAAGTTAAATAAATTCAGAGATTTTATTAGCTGAAAGGCTCCACCAATAAATTTTTAAATAATGTAGACTTTTTGAAGAAAAGAGGTTTTACTTAACATTATATATGTTCCTCAACATGACACACATATATTTATGTTCATACTTCCAGCTTCTTAATTCATGCCAATTCATTGAATTTTCATTTTATTTTATATCTCATCCTGCCAATTTGTTCACATAGAATTCAAGTATTTTAAATTTGTTATCATCTTTGAAGCAATATCTTAAATTAACCTCATAATTTGGAATAAATACAGAATAGGAGCAACACTATATTTTGATAAGAACATATTCGACTTGCCATGACAAACTAAACCTTTTTAATAGCTCAATTTATTAGGATAAAATGGCAACATTATAGTTCCCACCAGTAAGTAAAAATAGTATGGTCATAATAGAGAAATATAATGATAAGATGAGAGAGAATCTTATAATGTCGATGCCTGAAAACTTCTGAAAAATCCTCACCAATTGAAGCTTTTATAAGCTTCTAATTGTATTGTGATAAATGCATCTGTCTGGTGTAGAGAACTATCAACCTAAGTACATGTGCAGCAGCGAAAGTTGAGTTCCTTACAGAGAAAATCTATAATTTTATAATAAAAAAGCATTCACTGCCTTCCCAAACATAAAGAATAATTTTAAAGATTAAAATAAAAGCTTCAGAACACAGTTGCACATTTTCTAATGGAATGACAAACTTGTTTCCACTCTAGAAAGCATTTTTGACAAAGTTTCATACTTGAGGTTAATGACAATGTCTTAAGGGCATGAGTCTTGAATGAGAGTAGAGTTGGTTCCTAAAACTGAAGGAAAAAAAAGAAAAAAATATATATATAATGACACAGTCCAGGGCAGTAAATAAGAATAAAAGTGAAAGAAAATTAGGATTATGAGTCACTCTAAAACTCAAATAGCGGACAAATTAACATCAAAATAAGTCGTAAAAATGTGTGTGTTGGTTAATATTATGTGTCAACTTGATTGAAGGATGCAAAGTATTGTTTCTGGGTGTGTCTGGGATTAACGTTTGAGTCAGTGGACTGCGAGAGGCAGACCCACCCTTAATCTGGGTGGACTGCCAGCGAGGATAGAAAAAGCAGGCAGAAGGTGGAATTAGTAGACTTGCTGAGTCTTCCGGCCTTCATCTTTCTCCTGCGCTGGATGCTTCCTGCCTAGGAACATCAGACGCCAAGTTCTTCAGCTTTTGGACTCTTGGACTTCATACTACTGGTTTGCAGGGGCTCTCAGGCTTTGGCCACAGACTGAACAAGCTGTACTGTTGGCTTCTCTACTTTTGAGTTTTGAGACTCGGACTGATCCACTACTGGCTTCCTGGCTTCCGAACTTGCAGATGGCCTTTTGTGAGATTTTACCTTGTGATCATGTGAGTCAATTCTCCTTAATAAATTCCCTTTCATATATACATCTATCCTATTAGTTCTGTCCCTCTAGAGAACCCTGACTAATACAATATTTAAATGCACATCGCTAATTTTTTCCAAGTTACATACAAATAAATATTGAAACAATGATAATAACAAGAAAGGTCAAAGCTTCTCCATGTAAAAAAATAGTGAGTCAGTCTGCTCTTACATAAAAGCATTATTGTTTCCAATAGTGACTGTTGGAATTTAGCACAAAATATAAAAGATGAAAAGAATTTGTACACTCCAGAAAAAAAAAAAAGGGCAACAATAGTGGGAGGGAGCCCTTCTCACTTTTCATTCTTGTTATTAATGAATAATTCTCCAGGCCACATTTAAAAAAGGAAATTGTTGTGCTTAGCTCTTTAGTTAGTTGACAAGTTGACATCCTCATAATACATCTTATGATTAATTATAATCAAAATCACAATGAAGCATGGAATGTACTCAAGAGAGAAAAATTCTTATAAAGTTAGAAATCAATACTTTGTCAATATTACTTCTAGAGTGTTTCTAGAGTTATGCTACCACTTATCAAGCGATTGTATAAAATTATATAAAATCTCTCTACATGCCTACCTGCACTGCTGAATTCAGTTGGCTAGTATAGTATTTTGTTGAGGATTTTTGTATCAATATTTGTCAGGAATATTAGTCTATAGTTTTCTTGTAGTGTCTTTGGCTTTAGTTACAGGGTAATGCTGATCTCACAGGAGGAGTTAGGAAGTGATTCCCTCCTCTTCAATTTTCTGAAAAATTTGAAAAGGATTGGTATTTGTTCTTTAAATGTTTTGTAGAGTTCTAAAGTGAAGCTGTGTGGTCCTGGGCTTTTTCTTTTGGGGAGATTAGGATGACTGATTCAATATTCTTACTGGTATAGGCCTGTTCGGATTTCTTATTTTTTCATAATTTAGTTTGGTAGGTTGTATGTTTCTAGAAATTTATCCATTTCTTCCGGGTTGTACAATTTGTTGATGTATAATTATTCATAGTAATGTCATAATTCTTTTTGTTTCTGTGGCATTAGTTGTAATGCCTCTTATCTCTGATTTTAGTTATGTCGGTACTCTTTCTTATGTTCTTAGTTAATATACCTAAGGATTTGTCATTTTGTTAATCTTCTCAAAAAAATCAAATTTTTTTCTATTCTCTATTTTATTTATGTTCTAATTTTTCTTTCCTTTCTTCTGCTAACTTTGAAATTAGTTTATTCTTCTTTTTCTAGTACCTTGAGGTGTAAGGTTAAATTGTTGATTTATTTCTTTTTTAAATATAAGTGTTTATCACTATAAATTTGTCTCTTAATACTATTTTGCTGCATCCCATATATTTTGATGTAACGTGTTCTTATTTTCATTTATCTCAAGATATTTTTTACTTTAATTTTCATTATAATTTCTTCTTTAATACATTAGATGTTTGAGAGTTTGTTGTTTAATTCTCATATATTCATGAATTTTTCCATTTTTTTGTTTTGTTTTGTTTTTCCCTGGTATTGATTTATAGTTTCATTTTATCATGGATGAAAAATGTGCTTTGCATGATTTCCATCTTTTACAAATTTTTAAAATTTATTTCTGTTTTTTTTTTGTTTATTTTAACATGTGGTATATTCTGGAGAATATTTTATGTGCACTTGAGAAGAATACATATTCTGCTTTTATTAGGTGTGATGTTCCATAGATGTCTATTAGGTCCAACAGAGCTACAGTATTGTTTAAATTCTGTTTCCTTATTGATCCTCTGTCTGCTTGTTCTGTCCGTATTTGAAAGTGAGTTTTCTATTTCATTGTAGATATTCACATTTGGTTCAGGCATTATTTTCCTGATTCTATTTAGTTTTCTATATGTGTTTCCTTTTTTGAGCATCTTTAAGACAGTTATTTTGAATTATTTGTCAGGTAATTTATAAATCTCCTTTCTTTAGGGTCAGTTTCTAGAGATTTGTTTTACTTCTCTTAGGGCCATATTTTCCTCTTTATTTGTATGTTTTGGGATCTTTTGTTGTGATTTTGGCATTTGACAATACAGCCATTTCTCCCAGTTTTTATGGACTGTCTTCATACACAGGAAGACCTTTATCAATCAACCTGCATCAATATTCTGAAGCTCTGAAGCTTTCTCAAATCTTTTTAAAAGATATGCTTTATCTTGTCTTGGGGATATTTAATTTTCCAATTAAAGATGTTGGTATTTCTTCTCTGGTTTCCATAATTTCTTATGTTATGTTCCACAATTTCTTCTTGTTGTCTATCTGCAATATTACTATCTCTCTGGTGCTTAACAAGCCACAGTGCTTGCTTTTGTTCTCGAAATCCCCTAATGATGACTAAGAACTGGATGTCCAAACCAGTGCTTCTCTCAGTGCTGTCAGGACAGACAGAAATGAGTCCCTCGGGCAGTCCCTGAAAAGCCAGAATGTTTAATCCATGGTCCGCTTCTCTCTTAGGGGGATTGACTATGGTAGGTAAATTTTCCTTCCTGTTTTGATATGTCACTTCCTGGTTTTGCATTCATCTGGGTGCTCCAACCTCTTAATTTGTTTCTGAAGCTTTCACAAAAGCAATTTCGTCTGTATATTGTTAGGTTAGTGTCTCCAGGAAGGAATAAGGACCTGTGGTTTCCTATACCACTGTCTTGCTGACATCATTCCAAAATGTTAATACTTTAGCTTTTGATTTCCTCTTTGATTTATAAGTTATTTAGAGATCTGTTGTTATCCTTATATTTCTTCCTATGTATAAAACCTATCAATCAATTCTTGCTGCTTTTAACATTTTTTTTCATTAACACTGGTTTTGAGAAATGTTACTATGATGAACCCTCACGTACTTTTCCTTACGATTTTTGTGCTTGGTGTTTTTAAAATTTCCTGGATCTGTTCATTTGCAGCAAATTTTGAAAATTTTCAACCACTATTATTTTCAAATATTTGTTGCTCACCATCCTTCTTTGGTGACTGCAGTTAGACATATTAGACAACTTGAAGTTGCCCCAGTTCACTTAGATGCAGTTCAGTTTTTTAATTTTTTTCTATAATCTCCTTGAATATTAATTTGGTAGTTTATATTATAACATCCTCAAATTCACCAATCTTTTTTTCCTCATGGCTAATCTGCTATCAATCCCATTGCATATATATATATATGATATTTATATATATGATATATATATAATTTTATATGTAAATATATATTTTTGCATATTGTTATTTATATATTTAAATACTATATATTTTTGTGAATATATATTGTTTTCTTCTCTAGTTTATCTGTATCTTTAAAAAATATAACCCATTTCAATATCCTTTGAACATACGAAATACAGTTCTAATCATTGTTTTAAATTGTTTTCTACTAATTATATCTTCTATGTCCATTCTGGATCACTTCTGATTCATTATTCCCCTGACTATATATTTTTTTTCCCCGCTTTGTATTATATCTATCTATTAACTGTATTGAATACCAAACGTAAATTTTAACTGTATGTGAGCTGTATTTTTTTGCATAAATTGCTCCTTTCAAGTTCACCGTGCTCTCCACATTGCTAAATTTAATGTTCCTTTTCATTTTTCATTTTGTTCACATGAGCATTTGATACAGTTCCCTTTTATTATTTATTTATTTATTTACTTCTAAGATTACATATCTCCATTGGTTCCTCCTATCTTACTACTACTCTTTGTTATTCTAACTTTCTCTGAAAATTTCTATAGTCTTTAATTTCATGGAAAGCCCCAAGTTCAGTTATATGTCTTCTTTTCTTTTCCATCTAAATATTAATGACTCATTTGTTCTAATGGCTTCAAATGTCATTTATTTACTGACATTCCCAAATATATATCTGTAATCTATACCTCTGCTGCAAACTGCATGCTCAGCACCACTACATTACATTCTAATACATAACTCAATGCCATAATTTAAAAAACTGAACTCTTGATCCTATCACCCAAACTAACTTTCTTCTCTCACTACTAAGCCTTCCACATCTCAGTTGATGTCAACATCCTTTATCCTTCCAGTTGCTCAGGCCAAGAAAATTCAAAGTATCTTTGATTTCTCACACTCCATATTCAATGCATCAGAAAACCCTGATGCTTTTGCCTATAAAAACAGATACATAATGCATTTGTTTTTCTTCATTTGCAGATATTGGTCCAAACCACTACCATTCTTGCCTGAATTAGCATAATGTCTTTCTAATTCATATTTCTGTCCTTGCTCTACCTGCCACCTGACAGTCTCTAATTGTATCATTAACCATAGTGATCTCTTGGTTCTGTGCTTTACTCAGAATAGAAGTCAAAACTCTTAGAATGGCCATCAAAGCTATGTAATCTTCCCCCAAGCCTTGCTGCCCAGTCTAATCTAACCTTCTTTCCTCTTCCTCACTCAACCTTTTTCAGTCACACTGGTCAGCTTACAAGATTTTAAACAATCAGTCATGGTCCCACCATAAGGCATTTATACTGGCTTCTGCTGCTGCTTGTAAAATTCTTCCTTAAATACATGTCCTTCAAACTCCTTCACTTTTTTCTAGTGTGCTTAAAAAAAGAAAAAAAAAAGAAAACCTAAGCAGGTTCCATTACAGGTTAGGAACTCTGAAATTAGAAAACCTGAATATTTTATAATTGACAAGTTTGCCCAAACTCTATCCTGAAGGAGACATTATCTTTATTACATTATCTTTATCTATATTTAGCCAGTATAAGAATTTGCCATTTGCTTCAGAGGGAACCACTATCTCTTATCTCTTGAGGGTGATCATTATTCAAATATCCTTGAAGAGATAGTCCAGAACAAAGTCAATCAATGACTGTATTATCAAGACATGCAGAAATATCAAAGACACATGAAAAACTGTCTCACAACAATTAATATAAAGAAGTCCTCTACATTAAAAAAGTAAATGTAAAAGAAAATTTAAAGAAATGGATTCACTCTGAAAGAATGCAAAAAGAAAATTTAGAGAACATGATTCACTATGAATGAACAATACCCATATGAAATAAACAAGATTATTAGCAGGAAAAAGTAAATATTAAAAGCATCAGAAAATAGTCCACACCCATCAGAATGGCAAAAATAAATATCTAATAATATCATGTTTTAGTGAAGGGCCAAACAACAAAAATATTTATACACTGTGGCTACTGGTAGAAACGTAAATCAGTACAATTATTTTTTTAAAAATAATTTAGTTGGCCGGTCACAGTAGTTCATGCCTGTAATCCAAGCAATTTGGAGGCCGAGGCAGGAAAATCACTTGAGCCTGGGAGTTCAAGACCAGACTGAGTCTCTACAAAAAAAGTACAAAATTAGCTGGGCTTGGTGGTGTGTGATTGTAGTCCCAGCTACTTAGGACGCTGAGGTGGGAGGATGGCTTAAGACCAGGATATTGAGGCTTCAGTGAGCCATGATCACACCACTGCACTTCAGCCTAGGTGAGAGGATGAGACCCTGTCTCAAAATAAATAAATAAATAAAAATATTTAGTAAATAAAAAATTGAGTATATTTTCTCATTTCCAAGTACCTATGCATAACATTTCTATTAACCAAGCTTTATTAGACATGTAATTGCATGCTTAGATATACATTAAGAAGAAAGGATGTGATATTAATTTTTTTAATTAGTCTGCTCAGGTTTCCATGCAAAATACCATAAACTTAATGTGACTTTAACAACAGAAGTTTATTTTAACACAGATCTGGAGGCTGAAAGTCTAAGATTAAGGTTCTGCCTGATTTGTTTTTTTGGTGAGAGCTCTCTGACTCGCTTATAGATGGTTATCATATTTTTGTATGGTCTTCCCCCTGTGCATGTGCTTGAAGAAAGAGGCTTCTCTTTGTTCCTCTTCTTATAAAGCTATTAGTTCTATGGAATTAGGGCCCCATCTTTATGACCTAACAACCTTCTTTAACTCCTAAAGTCTCTATCTCCAAATACAATCATATTGGGGGTTAGGACTTCAACCTATGAAATTAGAGGGTACATAATTCAATTCATAGCATAATTATAGTGTATAGCAATAAAAATGAATAAAATAGTGCTACATGTATAAACAAAGGTATAACTCACATACAGAATTTTGAGAGAAATAAGCAAATGTCAGAAAAAATTTGACATTCAGGATAGTGCTTACCTGTGTGGTGGCAAGAGGGGATTGTATTATATCTGGGAGGATGAGGGGGACTCCAATGTATTGGTAACATTTGATTAGTATCCATATGTTATTATATATTTTTGTCTTATCTTGAAATATTTTAAAATAAAGTTAAGTCTAGATAACAGTGAAGAAAATGTGTATACAACTAAGCTGGAGAACATTTTAAAATAAGTACATTTTGCCTTCTCCTCTGTAGTCTTCTTTAATGTGCTTCAAACTAACTAAGTCTTGCTCCTTTGCTTCAAGGACATATTTTCCTCTCTCTTTTTTTGGCAAATAAAAACTGAAGTTTCCCCTTTTCGCTTGTGCTTGACTAAGAACTCTAGAAAGGTGAAGATAGTCATCCAAGGGTGAAGTGAATAGAGATATCTGACCCACCAGGCCTCAGGTAGGGGCATCTATCAGTTGGTTCCATGGAAACTGAAAGCTGATTTTGGTGTAGAGAGACTTGATCTGAAGGGAAAAAAAAAAAAAAAACAAGAGGGAGAGTGTTTGGCTAACCAAGCTTTACCCTGGATAATAGATCTCTAAGCTAATGAAAATGTTTTCTTTAGGAGTCATAGAATTGGTTAGAGTCTGAACTTTAAAAAAAAAATCAGTTTGGATCACAATCATTTTGGTCTAAATCGGTTGGGAACAGTGACTGAATATTTACTAAATATTTCCCTCAGTTTATTTGAGTGGTCCTCAGTATTTAATTTGATTTTAAAACTACTACAATGTGAGTTGGTTGCATATTCAAGTCTGTGAACTAAAATTCATAGCTGCTGTATTTCCACTTGCCCAAAAGAGCTAAAACCATAAACTAGCAATTTTCCATGGCCTCCTACTACATATTTGTTGTAGAAATCTTTAAACAATAATATTTCTTATTATTCTAGTTGATTATATGTTAGCTAAGTAATATTTTGATGAGTGTTTTCATATTACATTTTGAAGACTGATTTAGAAGGTAAAGGAATTCTTGAAACATTTGTAACATTTTTACACCGAAGATATGCACTTCTATAGCCACAAATTCACTTTATTATTTTACAAACAAAACACATCTGTCATGGGATTTATCATGTTAATATGAATTGAACATCTCCTACCTCCTCTCCCCATTCTTTTTTCTGCTTTGTATTAGAATAATATTACCATGCTTTGCAAAATTCTAAATGCACCACTGAATTAAAATTCTAAATAATCTATTTTTAATATGACACATTCACAGATACCACAATGAAAATGTGACATTTTTAAAATTTATCTGATCCTACTTAAAAAAAATACCTAAGACATAAATTAATTCTTCACCTTCAGTACTATAATATGTGACTAAAGCGTTAAGAAACTTTTAGTAACCTCCATTAATTTAGTAGTTCTCTTCTTTGAAAATGAATAAAAATGCAATCATGTGGAAGTTTGTATTAATAGAGGTGTGGGAGAGAGTATCTATATGCATGTGTAATTACACATACAAATTAGAGTTCTGAATAATAGTATCATTACTTTGAGAGATTACTGGGAAAATAAATGGAGCCTGTCTTCTACTTAACAATTCTCTACTATTTTTAACTGCTGAGTGTACTAGCCATTTACCAAGATGCACTCTCTAATTTTAGAGTGAAATTGAACAATATTTTCAAATTATTATGAAACTTTGAAAATCCATAGAAACTAATTTTTCTCTTTTTAATCAAACTAAAAGGGCCCAAGTTTCCTTGGGATATAGTATGAAAAATCATGATACAATTAATAATTATAAAAAACTATATGACATATTAATAGAAGTATTTTATTAAAATTCTAATGAATAACAACATATAGAAACATGCACACACACAAACACACAAATGCAATACAGAATATAAGGTTTGATTTTTTTCCTGTTAGTTTCTTTCACTTACAGTAATGTTAAGTACCATTTAATAATTCACAGCTGAAATTTCTTTTAAGGTAAATGGTTGTGAATATCAAAACATAATTTTTTAAAACTTGTAAAGTTTACGTGGGTATATTATAGGATCTTAAGTCTTTATATGTATGCTACAATTAGCTGTAATTATATATTCCTTGACATCTTAAAATAACATTTTTTAAAATTGATACAGTAAGTAAGAACATTGGGTTTAGACAATTTTTCCAGTATAACTGAACACTAGGGATTTGTTTCCTTATTTTGCTTTTTCTACTTTAGTGGACTACTTACCTTGAAGCTTCATCTGATAAAAGTGAGGCCATATAATTCATTGTGTAAACTCCACAGTTTTGCAATTGAAAGGAGCTACAAAATATTTGGATTGTAAAATTTATATTATTTTTTTAAAATAGAAATAATTGTACCTAGTTACAATAAAGCAATATTAAAAATAATATTCTTATTCATAATTTTTAACAGATCATCAGAATAATTATTCATAATATACATTAAATATGTTTATGGTGAAAATATAATTTATTATTCAATTATTGATTATTTTGAGAGCACAGCAGGTTATTAATGATTACACCAAAAGACCTGTTGCAAACAATAGCACCATCGTGGATAATCCAGGAGGTATGATCAATCCACAAAAATCAGAGTTTTACCCATATCTGCTTCTAATACTGTATTATTTGTATTTCTATAAATAATACATTTTTAAATGAATTATTTTTATTGTTTCTAAATAATTAGCAGATTTCTCCAATGTATTTTTATCATTAGTACATTTGAAATTGATCCCTTTACTCTAATTTGATCCTTACACATTGTATGCAAGTATCAAAATACTACATGCATGCCATAAATATACACAATTGTTATGTATCTATTTTAAAATTAACAAAAAAGAGGAAAAACCTCTATACAATCAATACATTCACATGAACTTTAGTATTCTGTGCCCCCAAATTGCACTTTCTTCTAATGTTTTCTTATCATCTTTCACTTCTTAATATTTTTAATGAAATATCTCCTGCATGATTACATCAGATATTTTTCTTGCATGTTCATATAAACATTCCTCTCCAGGCCATTAACAACTCCTGGGACTGATTAATGAGAAAACTGACTTTAATTTAGGGCTTTCTTAGAGCCCTCTGATATGAGTTGAGCAGCATTTTCTTCTAAGTCTGGACCTCTTGGGAGGAAACAGGCTTGGCTTTTCATGGTTTAAGATAGATATAAATGACTAATTGTCTTGGTCCAGAAAGATGCTTGTATTTTACTCTAGTGAGTTAGAAGATCTAGTTGGCCCATGTCTCAGGACGCTAAATTGGCACCAGAATCTTAATATAGGCAGAGATTTGAGAAGTAGACGGTAGACTGTGGTCATGCTTTGTAGAAGCCTGTATACGTATCCATAAGAAAGAAAACGAAATTAGGTAATTATCACATGGCAAGAATACCCATGTAATGATAGAATGTAGCCTACAACCTAGAGAGTAGAAATATAGTGGGCCAATGTTTTAGGGCCCTTATTTATTGGTAGATTTCTTACTCTAAAGAGACTATTAATATTATTATATTTTGAACTCAATTCCATGAGGAACTAGAACTGTATTAGGATCTTGTTGCTACTCATTTGTACTTTTTATCTTATATCATCTTTCCATTTCTTGATTGTTGTCTTGCAGAATAAACCAAGTCTGGAGCAATTTTAGTCATGTTTGAGTAGTCACTTGACTAATCCTTAAATATGGGCTAGACTTTTACATGCCCGGATCATTTGACAATGGCTTGAAAGTTTTGTACTCAGAAGAGATATGCATTATTGAGTTTGTAGACTTGCCTTCAGTGGTGGGATTGTTTATGTCTTTTCAGTGGATAGCGGTTAACATTTTGCACTTTGGAGTCATTCCTGTTTTAAATACTTGTTTTTCTTCTGTGTATCTGTAGGTAATCCTGCCCTGAATTATTTCTCATGAAGGATTTAGTTGTCTCCTTCTCAGATATAGCTACTGTTTTTAACCTATTTATAAAATAAAACTTTTAACAAAATAACAAATATATCAAGAAAATACATCAATCACAAGTGCAGAAATTAAAGAATTTCACAGTGAACATACATATTCTATAAACATCTGGATTACAAATAGAAAATTAGCAGCACCTCAGAAGTTCCCTCTTTTTTAATCTCACAGATACCTCTACCTCAAATGTTATCAATTACTCTTCTAACATTGTTTTTTTGGGCTTGTGGTTGTTGTTTTAGACAGAGTCTCACTTTGTCACCCACGCTGGAGTGCAGCGGGGCCATCACGACTCACTGTAGCCTTGACCTTCCTGGGCTCAGGTGATCCTCAGCCTACTGAGTAGCTGGAACTACAGGTGCGTGCCACCACATCCAGCTAATTTTTGTATTTTTTGTAGGGAAGGGGGTTTCACCATGTTGCTCAGGCTGGTCTCAAACTCCAGAGCTCAAGCCTTCTGTCCTCCTCAGCCTACCAAAATACTGTAAGTAGAGGCATGAGTTACCACATCCAGCCACTCTTCTGACTTTTATTAAAATACTTTTGTTTGATTATGAACATTATGTAAATGGATTTATACATATATTTTAGTGTTCACGGAGGTCATGAAATGGCTTCTGTTTAAGAATATGTTTCTTGTATCTTGAAAAGGAGAAATTATATGAAAACATAAATAAACTCACAAGCATGAGAGCACTCACTATGACTGGCCTAATTAAATGCAATATTTAGGTTATCCGTAAAGTGAGGGGACATTGGTAATACAGTTAGTATCTTATCATACAAACTGAGAACAGATCCAGATCCAGAATATGTTATTTTTGGAAATTATAAGGGAAAATCACAGCATTGACATTGTAAATGACTTTTAAAGGGCAGAAAACTTAATATCCACCCCTCTTAGAGTCTATAGTTCACACTGCAAAATATTTTTAAGGAAATGACCAAGTTAACCTTGGTTCTCAAGGTCTCTTTGTTTTTATTTTCTTTTCTACTTTCACATTATACTTGTAGTTCAAACAATGAGTTTCAGAGCAACATGATAGTGTACACATCCTCAATTTAATGCATTTAGAAGTCATTACTAATAGTTTTGTTGTTGTTGTTCTGAAAATGTTGAAATAACCCCAAAAGCTATGGGGTTACAAAGATCACTTACTGTTCTATGTCTCAATTTATGTGATTATAAGGTGAGAACAATGTGTCCCATCTATTTTGGTCCTTGGGACTTTAAGATTTAATAAGTGCAAAAAATTTCTAAGGACTTTACAAGAAAGTAGGCATGTAAATAATATTAATGACATGTCTGCTAGATAGTAATGGAAAATGTGAGAAACAGTATTTCCAATATCAAAAAAGTTAAAAGATTCACTTTTATCAGGTCTTAATACTAACCTCTAAGAAGATTAAAGATGCTTTTCTTCTGTGTAATAATCTCTGTAAGCTATTTAGCTCAAATTTTTAAAAAAGAATATGCCCAAATGATCAAAGAAGGTTTGCAGCATTAAGGAAAAAATATATTAAAAAAAATTATAGACGTATATAAATAATGTCAGATAACATGATAAATAATGCTTTAAGGAAAAAAACTACCAAACCCCTTAACAATAAGATGAAAATGGAATACATACATCTGTCATCTGTAAAAGCTGGTGTCATTTAGAAGTGTAGAAAATGGTAGGAGAAGTGCTCAAGTGGTCTTTTGTTCTATCTTCTTTAGGAAGTGATGTGATCTTCAAAATGGAAAGAACAAAACAAATATATAGAGCATATCACAGGTGAAGAAATCATGCTACCCTGAATGAATTCAAAATCAAAGGTTGAAGGAACTTAGAGGAGCTATGTATGTGAGGTGATCTGCAAGCCAGCTTTGATACTTTATAAGCAATAGTGGAAAGGAAGATTTTTTGGAAAACTGCAAATGGACAAATGCTCCAAATTTACAAAAAAAAAAAAATACTCTGACCATATTCTAGATGAAATACCAAAGGAATGATTTTTAAATTTAATTTATTGAAAGAGAACACAACGGAAGACATTTTAAACCTTATTGGAATTGGAACATATACCTGTGTAAACATAATTATTTTACAGATTATATAATAACAGGTGCCAAAATTTTAGTGATTTTTTTCTAAAGGATTTGACAAATCCCATTTCATTATTGTATTTGAAAATTGAGTAAACCATGAAAACTTCCTTTGCCTCAGTTTCTCTCTATGTAAAATAACATTAAACTGGAATGACATTTAAATTGTCCACCACCAATATCAAAATTTATACCTGTTAGTACAAAATTTTAGTTTCTCTTTACAGCTGAAAAAACTAAGACTGTGTCTATTTGACTTGTTTTGTATCTCCTAAATATGTCATTCGTCACTGTTTTATAGGCATGTTGAGAAAATCATAGTAGTGACTATGGATTTTATTTTATTTTTCATGTTTCTTTTATGCCTTCTTAAATGAAAACATAAATATTTTTGTGCTTCTTGTCTCTGGGGCAATTATCACCCTACTGGTTTCATATCATTTTAGCCCATACTTATTTTGATAAAGTTTCCTCTTTCTTTAAAATCTACCAACTCTCTTGCTCTAAGCTTTTTCCTAATTCTCTTTATTTGAGCTTGTCTCACTTGTCTTACTCCTCTGGTGTCCTAGACAGCATTTTAAAAAACAGTCTGTTAAGAAGCTGCAAATAGCTGCTACCCAGATTTTCTCCCTGGTTTCTTAAAAGTACTAACATCAAACAGTTTTTGCAGTTTATACAAAGGAGAGGATTTGACAGCGATAGAGAGGAATGAGCCACCAGAGCAGTGATTTTTTTAGCATTAGAATATCCTAGTAATCATTTATAAAATAACTGTGACCCTCATCTTTCCCTGGAACACAGACAAGCTTGGTTCCATGACCCCAGGAAGAAGAACTCAAGCAGCGATGGCACCCAGCCAGGCCATGCTTCCCTGGAGAGTGGACAGAATGGTACTCCTCCCAAAAGGGAGCAGCCCCTGAGCCAAGCTGCAGGTCTACCAGCTCCATACTTCTCTGGAGTGCATACCAGCCTGGCACCCTGCACCCAAATTAGCAGTACTTTCACAGAGCCATCAACTCATCAGCCACATGTGTTTTGTGAGCACAGATCAACCTGGTGCTCTGCCTCCTTAGGAGCAGTGCTTGAGTCAAGATGCAGGGCAACCATGCTTCTCTGGAGTGCAGAGCAGAGCCCGTAGTCAAACCAGCCACACAAACCTCTGTAGTATAAGCCACTGAGGTCCTCACAGGCATTGCATACATTGCCTACAGCTGAAGAAACTCCACAGACACTACATTACTACACTGTCCAAACAAAGGCAATATACCTTACCCGACCCAAATCCTAGGAAACATCTGCAGGTAAAAGTCTTTCCCCATGAAAGCCACTCTACAAAACTGGAAGAGGTGACTGTCTTACCAAATGCACAGATATAATACAATGATACAAGAAAAATGTAAAATCAAGGATACATGACACCACCGAAAACCACAATCACTCTCCAGTAACTGACACCAATGAAATAAACATACATACCTGAAAAAAATTTTGACAATATTATTAAGAAAACTCAGCCAATACAGATAGACAATTGAACAAAAATCAGAGAAACAATTCATGATCTCTGAAATAAGACATCATGAATTGTTGAGAGAGAACTCTCATTTGAGAGACTATGAATTGAAATGAGGAATTCAACAAAGAGGTAGATATCATAAAAGAGAACCAAACAGAAATGTTGAAGCTGAAAAATCCAATGAATGAAATAAAAAGTACAGTTGAGAGCTTCAACAATATACTAGATCAAGCAAAGGAAGCATCCCTAACTTGAGGAAGGGACTTTTGAAATAATCCAGTAAGACACTCCCCCAAAACAGAAAAAAATAAAAATAATGAAGAAAGTCTATAGGATTTATGAGAAATCATTAAATGAACACATTTTACAAAATGAGATTTTCAGAAGAAGAGATGGAAAAGGTATAAGAAATCTACTTAATGAAATAATAGCTGAAAACTCAGGTCTTGGGAGACATAAGATCCAGATCCAGGAAGTTAAAATATTCTCAACCCAAATAGTCATAACCCAAAATGTCCCTTTTAAGGCACATATAGGTGAAGTGTCAAATGTCAAAGACAAAGAAAGAATTCAAAAATAGCAATGGAAAAGCATAAAGTCACATATAAGGAGATCCTCATTAGACTATCAGCAGATTTCTCTCCAGAAATCTTACAGGCAAGGAGAAAATGGGATGATATATTTAAAGTGATAAAATTAAAAAAACTAAAACTGTCAGCCAATAATATTATACTCAACAAAACTATAATTCAGAAATTAAGGAGAAATAAAGTCTAAGACAAGGGTAAACTGAGGGAATTAATCACCTTTATACTTGGCTTACAAGAAATGCATAAGGGAGTCAAACACCTGGAAGTGAAAGGATGATAACCACCCTCATGAGAACACATAAAAGTAAAAAACTCACTGATAGAGAAGATACTCAAATAAAAAAAGAGAAAAAAAACAAATGCTACCACTGCAGAAAAAATACCAAATCACGAAGTTAAACAATAGAAGAAGAACTAAACAATGGAAATACAAAACACCAAGAAAACAAATAACAAAATGACAGGAGCAAGTCCTTACCTATTGATAATAAACTGAAATGTAAATAGATTGAATTCTCTACTTTAAAAATTATAGACTGGCTGAATGTATATAAAGAAAATAATCAACTATATGCTGCTTACAAGAAACTCACTTCATCTGTAAAAACACACATAAGACTGAAAAGTGAAGAAATAGAAAAAATATATTTGATGCAAAAGGAAACCAAAGATGAGGAAGAGTAGCTATATTTATATCAGATAAAATAGGCTTTAAGTAAAAATCTATAAACAGAGACAAGGTCACTATACAATGATAAAAGGATCAATTCCACAAGAGGGCATGACAGTTCTAAATATAAATGCACACAACATTGGAGTACCCAGATATAACAAGCAAATGTTATTTAATCTAAAGGTAACAACAAATCATAATATAGTAATATTTGGGTACTTCAACACCCCACAGATAAGCTAGATGAAGAAACAGCAAAGAAAATCACCTACCAGATATTTACAGAACATGTCTCCATAAACAGCAGAATACACTTTCTTCTCATTAGCACCTTTTACATTATACAGGATAGATCATATGCTAAGCCACAAAACAAGTCTCAAATAATTGTAAAGATCAAAATATTATCAAGTATCTTTTATGACCACAATGAAATAAAACTAGAAATCAATAACTAAAGCAACTTTGAAAACTGTATAAATACATGGATATTAAATAATATGCTACTGAATGACAAATGGATCAAAGAAAAAAATAAGAAAAAAAATTAAATGTTTCTTGAAGTAAATGGAAATAGAATCACAACTTACCAAAACCTGTGGGATATAGCAAAAGCAGTACTAAGAAGAAATCTCATAACACTAAATCCCCACATCTGAAAAGTAGAAATATTTAAAATACACAATCTAACAACGCACATCAAGGAACTGGAAAATCAACAACAAACCAAATCCAAAAGTAGTAGAAAAGAAATAATAAAGTTAGAGCAGAAATAAACAAAATATAGACTAAAAATACAAAAGTTCAATATTTTAAAAGCTGAGTTTTTTTTTGGAGAAAGGAAACAACATTGACAAAATATTAGTTAGACTAAGAAAAAGAGAGAGAGGGAAGTCCCAAATAAAATCACAAACAAAAAAGGAGACATTACAACCGATACCTCAGAAATACAAAGGATCATTAGAAACTATTATGCAAAACTATATACCAACGAATTGAAAACCTAGAGAAAATGAATAAATGTCTGAAAATACACAACTTACCAAGATATATTCAGGAAGAAACAGAAAACATGAATATACCAATAATGAGTAATAAGATTGAATCAGTAATAAAAAGACACCCAACAAAGAAAAGCCCAGGACAAGACAGCTTCACTGATGAATTCAACCGAACTTTTAAAGAAAGTCGATTTTGTCGATTTTGTTTCCTTTGTCAAAAAAAAAAAACAAACAAACCCAGCTTTAAAAATGCCAATACTAATACCAATTCTCAAGCTTTTCTAAAAAAAAAAACTGAAGGGAAAGAAATTTTTTATAATGCATTATAGGATTCCAGCATTACCTTGATATCAAAAACAGGCAAATGCACAACAAAAACTGAAACTAGAGTCCAATTTTCCCTCCCTTCCCTTCCCTTCTCCTTCCTTCCTTCCTTCCTTCCTTCCTTCCTTCCTTCCTTCCTTCCTTCCTTCCTTCCTCCCTCCCTCCCTCTCTCTCTCTCTTTCTTTCTGATAGCGTCTCGCTCTGTTGCCCAGGCTGAAGTGCAGTGCAGTGGCGTGATCTCGGCTCACTGAAACCTCCACCTCCCGGGTTCAAGTCATTCTCCTGCCTCAGTCTCCTGAGTAGCTGGGTTACAGGTGCGTGCCACCATGACTGGCTAATTTTTGTATTTTTAGTAGAGACAGGGTTTCCCCACTTTGGCCAGGCTGGTCTCGAATGCCTGACCTCATGATCCGCCTGCCTCAGCCTCCCAAAGTGCTGGGATTACAGGCGTGAGCCACAGCGCCCGGCCGAGGCCAATATTTTTGTGTGAACATAGACGCAGGATACTCAACAAAATACTAGAAAATTGAATCCAACAGCACATCAAAAAGATTACAGACGATGATCAAGTAGGACTTATCATAGGGACATGAGAATGGTTTAATATACAAATCAACAAATGTGATACATCACTTCAACAGAGTAAAGGGCAAAATTCATATTACCATCTCAATATATGCAGAAAAAAGCATTTGACAAAATTTAACATTCTTTAATGATAAAAAAAACCATGAATAAATTAATTATAGAAAGAATGCATTAAAACATAAGAAAGTCCATATATGAAAAACCCAAACCACCATTATACTGCATGAGGAAATGTTGAAAGCTTTCCCTCTAAAAACTGGAACAAGATAAGAGTGCCACTTTCACCCATCTTACTGAACATAGTACTGGAAGTCAGAGGAACTGGCAACAAAAATAAATAATCAGTATTTATATTAATCTAATTATTCTTGCCCAATTATTAACTGCTAACTGGTTAAACATTTATTCAATTTTTAAGTTAATTTCCCACATAGGCTATATTTATGCTAAAACCCCTTCTCAGATGGTGTAAATTTGTCCTTGCTTTCAAATACTGCAGACTTGTACTTTCCAAAATAGTAGCTACAGGGAATATGTGGCTATTTAAATTTAAATTAGTTAAAAGCAAATAAAAGTAAATTTTCAGTGTCTTAGCCACACAACATAAGCCACAATTCAAAGTATTTAATAGCAACATGTGCCAAGTGGCTACAATATTGGACAAAGCAGATGTAAAACATTTTCACTATTCAAGAGAGTTCTATTGGACAGAACTAATCTAGACAGTAAAAATCTCTTTTAGGTGTTCCCATTGCTTTCCAAAGTTAGTATTAATTATACCACACAATCTGAATTTTAAGCCCAAATAGTTGAAACATTACAGGTAAAAATCTTTTCAGGGATTTTTGTGTGATGATTTAACAAACTGATAGACAAACTTAATTTTGGAGCTCTGGTTGTCCAACTCTAATTGCTCATCATTCCTGAAGGATTTTCTCAGTCCTTTTTAGAAAACCTCCAATAAATATTATTTATTTAAGCAGATGAAAAAGAATTATACCATCTTCCTGAAAATATTGGCTACCAAATTGAAATGGGCCTATGCCTGAATCCCTTATGCAGGGTTTTTCATTTAACCAAATTCATAGCACCCACACTCACAAAGCTCTTTTAGTATGGGCATTGGCAGGAGTATGGAAAGACAACCGTATATTATTTGCTAATTGTTAGTGCATGTTTCTCTGTTCATAGAAATATCTTTGGAAACACTTGTCTCTGTTCAGCTGCAAATCTTGATCACTTCCTTACAGACCTATTTTTATTCCATTGTAGTGTATGTTGAAGCTTACAGAATTGCAATATATTATAAATCACAAACATCTTAAAATGGATAATTTGCTGTTACTCTGTGATTTCATTTTATTGCCTTAAGTTGTCACCTGTTGTCATCGCCACTAACCTCAGGCAGCTGGCAGTTTTTAAATGATCTGTTTTACTATATACTTTTTGAAAGCATTAGATAGAACTCGGTATTAAATATTGTTGTCTAGAAAGCAGAGGGCAAGATTTGTGAGAAAATAAGCTTTTAAACCACTTCATTTTTAGTTATACAATGTGGGAGACTAGAGCAAATGAGTAATAAAAAGCAAAACAATTGAGATGCTTAGCATGCTAAATTAAGAATTTATAGTCTGAATGATGTCTCTGTTATCTCATTCAATTTTCTATTATTGCACATCTTAAACAATTATGAACAGAGATGACATAGCAATTTTTGCTTATAAATCTACAAGGGAGATAAATATAGCAACTTCTATTGATAGTAATGCTAATTGGTCTAATGTTCCCAAAACAAAGAAAAACTCATATTGGAAGAAAGGAACATTTTGAGCAAGTGGAACTGGCTACAAAAGCTAATGTGATATATTTTTCTTTTAAAACAGATGGAACATTTACTACTTTAAAATGGTAGTGACAGCACATGAAGTTCATATAAATACATATTACAAATACCCTGAGAAATAAGTGATGTGCCTGGAGTTAAAAAATAAATAACTATAAAATAAAGGGGATTAGAATTTAATATTTTGCAATAATACATAATACTTGTTTCATAAAATGTGCTAACTATGAACATATTGGTGACTCAATGTTTTCCCTACCAAAAGAACTTAGTATTGCTGTCCTTTTCAAAGATTCTGCCTTGAAATCTATTTGAAATTATCTCAGATTAATGCCTGGAATAATAAGTCTAAGTCATATAAGACAGTCATGATTATAGGGGTATTTTTTTGTTCTATGTATGTAAAAATTGCTTTTTAATCCTACCAATAAATAAAATCAACTTCAACTAATACACCAGATCAGTTTATTGGCTTAAGGAGTCCATTTGTGTTTCTCTAAAGAAATACCTGACATTGGGTAAGTTACAAAGAAAAGAGGTTTATTTTGACCCATAGTTCTGCATGCTGCACAAGAAGGGTGGTGCTGGCATTTGCTTCTGGTGAGGGCCTCAGGAAGCTTTCAATCATGGCAGAAAGTGAGAGGAGAGTAGGCATGTCACAAAGAGAGACATGCCTTCATTCTCTCCTTGACTTCATGTTTCACATCCAGGGCACATTGGTGCAAAAGGTGAGACTCCAGGGCCTTGGGAAGCCCCACCCCTGTAGCTTTTCAGGTTAAGCACCATAGCTGCTCTCATGGGTTGAAGTTGACTGTCTTTAGCTTTTCCAAGGTCAGGGTATAAGCTGCCAGAGGCTGTACCATCCTGCAGTCTGAAGGGCAGCAGCTCCCTTTCCACAGCTCTGCTAGGCAGTGTTGGGTGGGGACTCTGTGTTGTGGCTCTAACTTCACATTTCCCTTCAGCATGTTCCTAGTAGAGTTTCTCTGTGGGGGATCAACCCCTGCTGCAGGCTTCTGCCTAGGCACCCCAGCTTTTTCATACATCCTCTAAAATCTAGTTATTAGGTTGGTGCAAAAGTAATTGACATTACTTTTAATGGTAAAAAAACTAATAGAAGCTGCCATGCCTCCTTCACTCTTGCATTCTGCACACCTGAAGACCTAATGCCATGTAAAAATGCCCCCTGGAGATGTGGCCAGAGTAGTATCTGAGACTCTTTGAGCCGAGACTGGAGTTAGAGCAGCTGAGATGTAGAGAACAGTGTCCCAAGTTGGTAGAAAGTGGTGCCTCAAGCCTAGTCTTGGCTATTAGCACCTGGTTCCATTTTAGTCATGCTAATCTCTCTAGCAAGTGATTATCCACAGCCTGCTTCAATTCCCCTGCTAAAAATGCTTTTTCCTTCTCTACCACATGAACAGGTTGGAAATTTCCAAGATTTACACTTTGCTTCCCTTTGAATTTTCAGTTTCAATTTTATTTCTTTCCTCCTATATTCAATTGTAGGCTGTTAGAAGCAGCCAGGCTACTTCTTGGACACATTGCTGCTTAGAAGTTTCTTCTGCAAGTACCCAAGGTCATTGCTCTTAAGTTACACCTTCCAAAAATCCCTAGGGTATGAACACAATGCAGCCAAGCTCTCTGCTAAGACATAACATGGATGATGTTTACTCCAGTTCCCAATAAGTTCATCATTTCAATCTGAGACCTCATCAGACTGGCCTTTGCCATATATATTTCTATCAGCATTTTGGTCATAATCATTTAATCGGCCTCTAAGAACTTCCAAACTTTCCCTTATCTTCCTATCTTCTGAGACCTCCAATCTCTTCCAACTTCTGCCCATTGCCCAGTTTCAAAGCTGCTTCCACATTTTCAAGTATTTTTATAGCAACTCTCCACTCCTTGGTACCAGTTTTCTGTATTAGTCCATCTATATTAATATAAAGAAATACCTGAAACTGGGTAAGTTGTAAATAAAAGAGATTTATTTTAGCTCATGGTTCTATAGGCTGCACAGGAAGTATGGTGCTGCCATTTGCTTCTACTTAGGGCCTTAGGAAGGTTACAGTCATAGCAGAAAACAAAGAAGGAGCAAGCACATCACATGGTAAGGGAGAGGGAGTGAGGGAGAGGCCAGGCTCTTTTAAACACCCAGCTCTTGCATGAACTAATAGACAGAGAACTCATTCATCCCCAAAGTATAAATTTGTACTGTCTTAAAACTGAGATTCAGTTGGGTGGTACCAAGACATTTATCAGGAATGCTCCCCCATGATCCAACACCTTCCACTATGTCCCACATTGAACATTGGGGATTACATTTCAACATGGTATTTGGAAGAGACACATACCCAAACATGTCACAGAATCAGACAAGTTTTAGAGAAGTGATTAGATATTGGAGATAGATTCATCTGCTAGTCTTTAGTTACTTTTTTCAGTTTCGACATATACACAAGTAAGGTGTCTTTTGCTTTTTAATGAAAATCAATTTGAATAAAACCCAAGCACCATTTGTGCTAAAATATATATATCTTAATTTCTAATATAGTATACACTCTTCAAATGAGAAATAAAAGAAAACATCAATGTTTTGTTAGTGTATTCTAATAAATGAATATAAGTTTAAAAGGTGATAAAGTAATAGATAGTGCATTTGTAGCATATTCTGTTGGTAAATGAATATGACTTACTATACCTTAGATTTTTTTCAATGTTTGATATGCTTGGCCTGTGTTTATTTCTAAATATATATCAATGAAATCTAAAGCAATTCTTGGTTATAAGAAGTGGAAATGCCTGAATAAAAAGGAAGGTGAGGGTGGGTGCAGTAGCTCATGCCTGTAATCCCAACATTTTGGGAGGCCAAGGCAGAAGGAATGCTTGAGTCCAGGAGTTCAAAAATAGCAAGAGACTGTCTCTACAAAAAAATAAAAAAAATTAGTTGGGCATGATGGCATACAACCGTAGTCCCAGTTGCTCAAGAGACTGAGCCTGGAGGATTACCTCATTCCAGCATGTAAAGTCTGCAGTGAGCCACAATTACACCACTGCACTCCAGCCTGAATGACAGTGAGACCTTGTCTCAAATAAACAAACAAACAAAAAATCAAAGACATATTTTAGTAATTGAATTGAAATAAAATTGGAATCATTAGAATGTTTTTGTATAAATTTGTACTGTCTTAAAATTGAGATTCAGTTCATTTTTCTGAGTTCAAGTATGGGGACTAGATTAAAATTCAGAATCCATACTGTTAAACACAGGTCACGACTGTAATTATAACTTGCATCTTAATTTTAAAAGGAAATAATGTTAAACTCCAAATATTCTCACTGTGGAAATATGTATAAAAACAGGCATTTCATATTTTCACCTAGTACATAATTTACTATTATATACAAATTGGTAACCAATAATGCTAATGAAATTAATAAATTTAATAAACCCTGATATTAGGTAAATCAGTTACTAATATCATTTTATAAAATACAGAATAATGATATATAAGAGCTATGTTAAACATATTTCTTTATCAGAACATTATTTTAATCATCAAATTTTTTAAGGCAGGTAGAAATAATAGTAAATTGAATAGTAGGTCTATACATAAAAATTATCACTTTTTATGTACTTAATTCAATTCATATATAAGCCACTCCTCTATCTGAAGAGACAAAAGAGCAAGAGCAAGTCTCTTCTTTTTTTTAGCCTGGAAGCTACTATTAGGAAATACAGGCTCTGAACTTTCTCAAGGAGAAATGTTCTTAGTCTGGGACCTTTACCTTCTACAAGCATGTTATTAAATTTTAGTTCATAGAACAGAAACCCTCGAACTTATTTTAAAAGCCTGCAAAGAAAGATAAGACAAGGTCAGCTCTGTAACTCTTTAGTCCTAATATATTAACAGCACTAACTTAGATTACACATGTTTCCCTCTCACAAATATGAAGTTCAAGGTACGTGTATAGAAGAGACAGAGGGAAATGACATGCATTGATGTGTTGCTTAAGTACAAGGATACATTCTGAGAAGTGAGTCCTTAGGCAATTTCACTGTTGTACAAACATTGTACAGCATATACTTACACAAACCCACTACACACTTAGGCTATATGGTATGGCCGATTGCATAGGTCACAAACCTGTGTAGCATGTTAGTGTACTGAATGCTATAGACAATTTTAAATCAACGGTGAGTATTTGGGTATCTAACCACAGAAAGGATACAGTAAAATTACTATACGAAAGATTTTAAAACATAGTTCACCCATATAGGGCATTTATCATGAATGGAGTTTGCAGGACAGAAAGTTGCTCAGGGTAAGTCAGGGAGTGGTGAGTGAATGTGAAGACCTAGGGTATTACTGCACACTACTGTAGGCTTTATAAACACTGGAAATAAGTTATATTATACTAAATTTATTTAAAGTATGTTTCTCTTTCTTCAATAATAAATTCGCCTTAGTATACTGTAACTTTTCTTTTCTACTTCATCAACTTTTACATTGTTTTTAACTTTTTGACTCTTTTGTAATAACACAGGTAAAAAACACATTCCATAGCTGTACAAAATATTTTTATGTACTTATTTTACAAGCTTTTTTCTATTTTTAAATTTTTGTATAATTTGACTTTTTAAGCTTTTTTGTTAAAAACTAAAACACAAACACACACATTAGTCTAAGCCTACACATGGTCAGGATAATCAGCACCACTGTCTCTCACCTTCACATCTTGTTCCACTGGGACGTCTTAATGGGCCATAACATGCGTAGAGCTGTTGCCTCCAATGATAATGATCCCTTCTTCTGGAATACCTCCTGAAGAACCTGCCTGTGGCTATTTTGCAGTTAGCTTTTAAAAAAATACAAATAGGAGGAGTACACTCCAAAATAATGATTAAAAGTATACTATAGGAAATACTAGGTGATAGTAATTTTTAGACTCATTTAAAATCTTATGGAACCACCATCATAAATGTAGTCCCTCATGACCAACATTCATTATGCAGAGGATGATTGTACTAAAATATGTGTTTCTTAATATATATTATTTCATTTTTATGTAAATAAATATTTAAAAATCTTCCAGTGCCCTATGCTTTAAAAATCTAATAATTCAAAACTATATTTTAAATCAAACTGAAATACATTTAGCTAAAACAAACTTTTAAGTTTAACAATTGTGAAATATAGTTAAGAAGACAGCATGTATAACTACAAGTCTTTTCTAATATTTTTGAAGGACTTTTTAAGTTCTTTATCTTCCATGGCAATAAAGATATGAGTCCAGTTAAAAAAATGGGTAAATGATCTGAATACACATTTATCAAAAGAAGACATAAAAATGGGCAATAGGTATATGAAAAAATGTTTAACATCACTAATTAGAGAAATGCAAATTAAAATTACAATGCAATATTATCTCACACCAGTTAAAATGGCTTTTATCCAAAAGACTTCATACACTGTTGGGAGAATGTAAATTACGACAACCACTATGGAGAGCAGTATGGAGGTTCCTCAAAAAACTAAAAATGTAACTACCATTTCGTCCAGCAATCTCACTGCTGGGTACATATCCAAAAGGAAGAAAATTGGTATATCAAAGAGTTATCTGCACTCTCATGTTTATTGTAGCACTATTCACAATAGCCATTATATTGAATCAACCCAATTGTCCATCAATAGATGAATGGATAAAGAAAATGTATATATACACAATGAAATATTATTTATCCATAAAAAAAGAATAAAACCCTGTCATTTGCAACAACATGGATGGAACTGTTGGACACACAAAGATAAATATCACATTCTCCCTAATATAGGGACCTAAAAATATAATGAATTCACGAAGATAGAGTAGAAAAATAGTTACCAGAGGTAAAGTGGATTGGGGAGTGGTAATAAAGAAAAGATAGTTAATGGGTACAAAATATGGTTAGAAAGAAGGAATAAGTTCTGGTGTTCACTTATACAGAAAGGTAATTATAGTTATCAATAATTTATTATGTAATTCAAAATAACTAAAAGAATAGAATGTGAATGCTCCTAATAAAAAGAAATTATAAATACTTGAGGTGATGGACACCCCAATTTCCCTGATTTGATCATTACACATGGCATGCTTATATCAAAATATCAAATGGACCCCATAAATATGTACAACTAGTATGTATCCATAATAATTAAAAATTAAAAAATATAATTAAGACGTGACAGTTCTTTGTTAGGCTTTACATTTTTTGAACAAATTATCCATGTAGGCATTTCTCTTTGATTTTTGTCTATAAGATAGTATGATTTCCTACATGCATTGGAGAGATCTAATGATCCATCTGTACACATATATATATTCATATCTAAATATTGTATGTACCCACATACCTATATTTGTATGTACACATAATCATATATATGTTTTCATGTGGTATTAGAAGTTAATGTGAAATATACAAATATGTCTTTATATTTTTATATAACACATCGTTTATCAGAAAGTTTCAGGTTATTTATAATAAATTTTCATTTCAATGGTATGTGTTTAGAACTATTGAAAAATAAGTCATTTCACACTTGATGCCCAAAGTAGTCAGTATAGTGAATTTAACTTGATTCCTATGAAGTTCTCTTTTCCAGATACCCCTTATAATTACTTTTGAATATTTAGAAAGCCATTGCCTTACTCCTGCACCTTTGTTCCTGGGGGAGAATCATCCAAGTCCACTCAGATGGAAAAAAATAAAATGTATAATGCTGAACTTATTATTTAAAACTTTAGTGTTAATAGAAAAAAATGGAAAATGATGCAATTCTGTCTCAACTAGAATATTGACTCTGAGAAATTGTCTATAAATTGGACTGCTTACTGGTAATGTAGCCTGAAATTTTTCTTCATGAATCCTGATACTTTCATTCCCCTGAAAATAAGTTATCAATAGTTACAGAAATAAAAGGTATATATGTTACTAGCTTATAATGAAGAGATCTAAAGAGGATCTTCTTTTCCAAGATTAAAATCAGCATGTAGTAGCTCCTACTTTAATATGTGGTTCTCATAGGATAGTAGTACTCATAATAGCAGCAATAGGATTAGTACTAGCAGTAGTGGCATCTTGGTGTTCTTGAATGCAAATTTAACATTTTATAATATATATTTCATATTACCATCCCAAAATGTTTCTTATAACTTAGAATTCTGAAAAACTCAGGAACTTCCTTTCCACAGTAGTTTTTGAAGAATTCTATTACATAACACCTTTTTATCTGGACAATTAGCAAGTTTAAAATTCTTGTATTTCCTGATTGATTATAATAGCAATATAATGTAATACTTACAAAACTTGAACACTTAATAATTTCCAGAATGCTATCAAAATGAATAGTATAGAATGTAATATTGGAATGAAGTACAGATTAATATGTTTTGACAAAGATAATGCATAGACTATTGAGGCAAATGATACTGTCAACATATGTTTTTTATTTCTTTAATTTCTTAGAAGCAAATATGGTAAATATTTTTCTTTGCTTTTAAAAATATAACAGTGCAATAACTATTGACACTTAGCTTTAGCATTTGGAAATAAAGAGCACTAGAGACATTGATGACTATAAGACTCATAGCTATAGTAACCCTACATCTCCATTTGCCTGAGACAAATCTGGCTTCTGCCTGATAATGAGAAATGCAATTTAATGAGATTCTCTTTCATCCCCCAAACTGTAGCACTTTGCTGATAAATTGTGGTGACTCAATTCTGACACATCTAAAATATTCAGTTTATGCCATATAAACTTGATATTGTCAGATATTCCGGTTTTAAAAATAAATGTTAGAGTTTAAATATTCGAATTTGTATATTATTATTGATTTTAAAGTATTGACAATTTATTCAAATACTCTACAAGCCTAAGTAAGTCCATACTATGTAAGCCAATAGAACAAAATTAATTTTGACTTATAGCCAGTATGACAAACACTCATCTATTCTGAAAAATAATGTAAAGAGGATTTTTCACTAATCATTGAGAAGAAAATGCTGATTTGCTTGCTTTTGTCTTTCTTTTACATATTGATGATCATAAAGTCATAGGGTAGATTTTTAAAATATTTTCAAAATAACACTATAAAATAGCACACAATTCCTAATTGCCTATCAGCCAGAAATAGAGTTTTAATTGAATTTCCTTAAGATAGTTTGGCTAAAGTGTAAATATTATTAACAGTGGTCTTCTATGCTGTCCATCTCTTCCTAGTTCACTTATGCAAATATGCACATACTTTCCACCTCATTTTAAATTTTTCTCAAGACAGATATTTGTTAAACTATGATAACAGAAAATTATGTTTTTTAATATGTTATTGAAATATGGGTTTTAAGTGAAAACAAATGAGAAAGACGGAAGTGAGAGTTGAGAGCCATGAGTATGGAATTGAAAATTGGATTCACAAGCCATATTGCCTCTCTATTACCTGAGCAATTAATTACACCTATCTTTGGAAGTTTTGAGATGGAATTAAAGCACTAGTATTTGTAAAATATTTGAGCACAATGGTGTGATTCTACAGGATTTGAAGTCAAGCAAAATTGACTTCAAAATTTTGGTTCACTATTTACCAACTGTGCGAGTCTGGACAAGTTAGGTAAACTTGATAATTCTCAGTATCCTTATAAATAATAGAAATAATAAACCAACTTTTCAAGATTATGAGGCTTCATAATTTGTGTGTGTGTGCATGTGTATTTTCTTCTTCTTTCCTGGAGAAAGTCTCAAAAATGATAGGTGTTTCTGATAGGTGGTATATATTTCAAAGGACATTGATCCTAAGAGCATTTTCACGATGAGGAGACTCTTCTGTTTCAATTATTTGTTCTGTTGCTGTGGTTGCTTTTATTTTTAATTCTCTGCTGACTACCCAGTAGTACATATTCGAGGCATAATATACAGTTAGGAATAAGATGTCATTTATTTGGGTGCACTTTATAACAGTTTTAGATTCCCCTTTGTAACTGACATGAGAAAATAGCTACTTACCCACTCAGAGGAGTATCAAAGTCTATTCAGAATTTAGAATTATCAGTTCCCAGAGATTAGAAAAGGTAACATCCCTTGAAGAATAATGTAGTTGCTTTATTATTCTAATGAGCTCTAAGATAAATAATGAAGAAAATTAAAAGTTTCTCTTCTCTGTGTGCTAGAATGGAAATCCTCTAATTAAAGAAACATTTTCTCTCCTACTCTGATTTATGCTCTTCTGTTTCTTGACCAGTATGCCTTTTATTGTATCAACTTCGAAGATTCACACTGCTTCTTAGGAAAAACTTAAAGAGTTAAAGGCATGCTAGTGTTTCACAAAGTGTGGGGAAGGAAGGGAGCAGTTCACACTGAATAAAAGAAATCTAACCTGTAGAAAACTTGCCCAGACTTGGTCCAGTAGCTATCAAACAGTAGGATGTTCTATATAATATGAACTTAGTAACCAAGCATCACTGACTTTCAGGGTGCAACTTTTGGTTATAGCCCAAGTTGAATTAGTTTGTATTAATGGAAATACATGTCAAGAAGAATAGACCCTGTCATTAATTCAATTTTTTAAGGATTTGCAGGTAATTTTTACAAAAGAATAGTAGAGAATCAAAGGGAAAGCAGATGTGTCAACAAGGGAAGATTGTAAATTAAGGGATGCAGATGTGTCAACGAGAGGAGATGCTAAGAACCTTAAGAAATTACCCTTGTGACAGGTTTTGTGTGTGTGTGTGTGTGATTTTGGGCTAGTCCAAGTGAGTAATCATTTAAAACATTCCTATCCCTACACATGTATGCATACACACCTTGTGTGAAAAATAAAGTTGTATATTCACTCAGCCTGGATTATACCACTTTCCTATACCTTCCTTGAGGCCAGAGAAGATGGTGAGTAGAGACAGCAAACAGCAGCTCATAGCCTAACTGCAAACTGAAGGGGAAGAACACTCTATGCTTCCTGAGTAAAAAATTCTAATGGAACCATAGTACTTAACCCTATAATTAAAATAAGTGACTTCTGAAAAAGGATGCAGTAGACATCTTTGTTCCATACACAGTAGATACTATGAGCCATACTATGACATTTGGCTCAATTCAATACACATATAACATAAGCTTAATAGAATCTAAGAAAGAATTGTGCCAGTTGTTGGACATAAAATATGTTCACTTATTTTTCAATAAATCCTGAGGAAGCCTTTACAAATGTAATTCATTCGGTGAGCAAATATTTAAGAATAAGTAACAATATAAATTTTAGAAATATTTCCCTTTTGAAAAATTCTAACAATCATAATAATAATTAACCTTGCGAGGCATTGTGATAACTAAACACTTCACATGTATTAATTATAACTCCCTGCTATCTCACAAGGAAGGTAAAACATACTTACTTAAATTTAGACTGGATGAGTAACCTCCATTAAGAAAGACTGAAAATATCCAGAAAAATTAAATAATTTTGTAACTTTCTCCAACAACATAGCTAGAAATACAAATGAACAAGGAGATTGAATGAGCTAAATGTATTTCATTCATTCTCTGCTTCTGATTTCTCAGTTGCTTCTGTATAGGTAAAACAGGACATTAATTAAAATGAAAAGTTAAATGTGAATACTGAAAGTTGATCTGCTGTTTTATTTAAAATTGTAGCTATCTAACATCCTTGTATAGTTAGTTTACTCAATTATAGACAAACTATAATCAATTCCAGCAAGACACATTAAAGGCCATTATTATGTAAGAAATCATACGGTATTTTATAGAGTATAAAATCTATTTCACCAGAAATAATACTTGCCTCTGCTGAATTATTTGAAAGACCTCTACTGAATGGACAGAATTAAGAAGAGAAACTTCCTAATTTTTGAGCTCATGGGGACCAAATGAATAAACATCACGATAGAAATTTGGTGGACTTAGTCAAAACAATGACAAGATACATACAACTGTTAAATGTGTTCACTGTACCATCAGTTCTCATATTGATTACAAGGGAAATTATAACCTCTCAAGCAGATGGAGTTGGGTTCCAGAGTTTGGCCTGAATCCTCTTCAATTCCCTGGAGCATTCTAGTTTTGTTGGGGAATAGGTTAAATAAAAGATGAATAGTTATTCCCTAGTGCAAAACCTGTCTCTCCCTTTTAATAAGATGTACTAACATCCCAATATGAATAGATAATGTTTGAGAACAAATGATATTGTTTTTCCTAGGATGGTAGATTGAAACTGTACCCTAAACTAATCAACAATAGCTGTCTACCATATTCAGTGCTCTTGTATCCTGTATAAACAAATAACCAAAATGATGAAACAGAAAGTTTGAGTGTTACTGAAACTGCTATTGAGTAACAAATCTTGATGAATGTAATGTTTTAATTGTGGCATTTTAAGATCTAAAATAATTTCAGAATCACTCACAAATGACATTTAATATACTTCATATATTAAATATATACTACTTAATTATATTATTGAAAACAAGACCTCATAATCTGTATTTGATATGTTAGATCACTTACAAAATTTCAAACATTCATTAAGACAAAAAGATTGTATTCTATAGTCATCTTAGATGAATTTAAATGTAATGCTCATGGTTCCTAAAAAAAATAAAAATAAAATTACCATATGATTCAGTAATTCCACTTATGAGTATATAGCCAAAAGAATTAAAAGCAGGATCTTGGTGAGATACCTGTGTACCCATGTTTATAGCAGCAGTGTTCGCAATGGCTAAAACGTGAAAGCAGGCCAAGTGCCCTTCTACAAGTGACTGGATAAGCAAAATGCAGAACAGGCTGAGTATCCCTTACATGAGACCAGAGTGTCATAGATTTTTTATATTATTGGATTTTTGAATATCATATATAAAGATATATATAGGGGAAGGAACCCAAGTATAAATAAGAAATTCATTTGTGTTTCATATACACTTTATGCACATAGCCTGAAAGTCATTCTATACAATATGTTTAATATTTTTGTGCATGAAACAAAGTTTGTGCTAAGTACTTATGTGTGGAATTTTTCACTTGTGGCATCATGTTAGTGATCAAAAAGTCAGTTTCAGGTATTGGAGCATTTCAACTTTTGGGTTTTCAGATTAGGGACACTCAACATGCATATACCTACAAATAATATTACTCAGCCTTATAAAAGAATGAGATGCTGACATATACTACAACTTGAATGAACTTTGAGGATAGCATACTGAATGAAATGTCAGTCACAAAAAGACAGATACTATGTGATTTCTTACATGAAGTTCTCTCAGTAGTCAAAATCATAGAGACAAAGTAGAATGGTGGTTGTGAGGCACAAGGGGGAAAAGGGAATAGGGAGTTATTGTTTAATGGACACAGAGTTTTAATTTACAATATGAAAAGACTTATGGAGATGGATGGTGGTGATAGTTGGACAACATTATGAATGCACTTAATACCATTGAACTGTATACTTAAAATGTTGAAGTTATAGATTTCATATTATGTGTATTTTACCACAATAAAAATGTAATACTCTTATATTTGAAGTGTTCAATATGGATAACTACTTTAATTAGCTTGCCAATATCACTTTAGCAGTAGTAGTGACTCAGAGTGTGGAGTATAGTGTTTTCCATCACTAAATATCTTTACTTACTCACGAGCTGAAAATTCCTTGTTAAGTACATTTCAACTTTCTATTTTCAAGCGTATGACATTCTATGGTTCTACTAATTTAATCACCAAGCTGGACCATGAAGGTGATAGAGTCCCAGTAAAGTCTGTAATAGATGTTCAAACAATTACTGTGTATGTCCCTTAATGAGGAACTTTTTTTATTACTCCATAATTATAGGTAAAGTCACAATGCTTAAAACAACAGTTGATACAGAAAGTGTAGATAACTTCTGGAAACTCCCTGAAGTACTTTACAAATAGTACTCAAAGCTTTTCTCTCTTTCATCACCACATTTATTTGAAATAGTTGAATATATCATATTTGGAAGACATTATCTTTGGAAAACATGTCATGGCTGAGGGACTGTGCATCAGGAGATAAACTCAGAGAGATTGAAGGAACCTATAAATGAGGAGATTGGGCATCCCAAGGTGCCCGAATAATCAGCCAGCTGCAGAAAATCATAGCCCTAATTCAGTGCTATTCATAGAACAGAGCACGGTAAGAGAGTTTTGGGGAGAGCTTGGCATATGTCATCTGGAGCTTGGGACACATGTCAACACATAGATTGATGTATGCGCTGCACCTGCATTACGATTCTGTATATGGAGAGATGGGTAGAACCATTTTAAAGCATAAGATGAGATGAAAGGGCTGTCTGAATGCCCACCTTTTGTCCTGGTAAGAACTTATGTGTTTTCTTGTGCAAAATGAACCTAGCAACAAGAAGTTTTTCAAATTAAAAGTAGGCAAATAAACAAAAAATACAAATAAAAATGCTTTAATTTATTTCACCTAATTCTAATCCTTACTTCTTCCACCTTTATCCTGAAAGATTCAGAAATGACAGAGAAGAGGACAGGGAGGAATGACCATGAATAAACGAACCATGTCTCTCTGACACATCGCAATATTGTGGGGAAAAAAGAAATGAAAAATGATTTGGATTTTAATAGGAACATTAAATATATTTGCAGGCAAACTTTACTTAACAAAATGTAATGTGTTCTTACTACTGAAATAGATGACCTCCAGAAGAAAGGGAGGGATATTTGAGCACAAAGAAGCCTTTAATCGGGGATATTGTCTTTTTCCCATGTGTATCCTCACCAAATTCAGACTGTTCAAAATCCAATTCATAATAGTTTTATGTAAAGACTTTGTATGAAGTTTCAATGCAAGTAGACAAACACTCATATCCCAAGAAAGAAAGGACTCATGTTTTATGCAATACCGCTCATGTTTAGTAAATACTTTTTTGGAGAGATGGCAAATGGCCCTTTACATTGAGTGAATCAGCTTAAGACAGACATTGCAATACAAAGAAAAGAATTTATGCTTCGTTGTAGCCAAAAAAAAAAAAAAAAAAAAAAAAACACGAAGCTTTATTCTTCAAAACAGTTTGAGACTGGCAAAATAATTGAGAAGAAGACAGTAGAGAGAGATTTCATATACCTTGCACCCAGGTTCTCCTATTATTAATACCTTACATTAGTGGGGTAAATTTGTTATAATTAACCAGTATTGACATCTTATTATTAACTAAAGCTCATACTTAGATTTTTTTAGTTTTATTTTTTTTATTTCTCAGGATTCCATCTAATATACCATATTTCATTTAGTTGTCATATCTCTTTATGACTGTCTTGACTGCAACAGTTTTTCACTCTTTTCTCCTTGTTTTTGAAAACCTTGATGGTTTTGAGATGTGCTGATCAGTTGTTTTGAAAGATTCCCCTGTACTGTAATTTATTTGAAGTTATTTTCTCATGATTACACTAGATTATGTGTCCTTACATCATATGAAGGGTACAAACTAGGAACATGATATATGTTGATACTGACTTCGAATGCCTTGTTAGGGTGATGTTTAACAGGTTTCTCTACTGTAAAGCTAATCTCTTGTTTTCCTCCCATTTCATATTGTAATTTGTCTAAAAAAGTCACCATACATAGCCTACTCTTTTATATATATGTGTGTATACATATTTATATAAAATTACATATAATTATAAATGTATTATGTATGTTATATATAATATGATATGTTTATATAAAATTATATATAATTATTTATATAATTATTATATTTATTTTTATATTAATAATACATAATATATAATTTATATATATTTCTATATTATATATGTAAAAATATATATTTTATATATACTAGAGACAGGGTCTTGCTCTGTCTTCCAGCTGGAGTGTGCAGTGGCACCATCACAGCTCACTGCAATCTTGACTGCCTGGGCTTAAGTGATCCTCTCAGCTCAGCCACTCCAGTAGCTGGGACTACAGGAGCACACCAACATGCCTGGCTAAGTTTTTAAAATTTCTGATAGAGATGTGGTTTCATTATGTTACCCAGGCTGGTCTCAAACTCCTGAGCTGAAGCAGTCCTTTCATCTCGGCCTCTCAAAGGCCTAGGATTACAGGCCTGAGCCACTGCACCCAGTCACAGCCTACTCTTAAGCAATAGAAAATCTCTTCACTTGTGGGTGGAGATTCTATATAAATTATCCAGAATTCTGCATAGGCCATCTGTCTATTCTCCCCTCTTGATGTAGTTATTCAATCATTTATTTATATCAGTATGAATGCATGGATATTAATTGTGTATGTTGGGTTATAATTCAATATATTAATATAATTCAGTACTACTTTAATTTGTTGCTCAAATTATTCTAGCTGTGACTATTGAAAGCTCTTTCACTTAGCCATCCTGTTTCATTGTTCCATTAACATAGTTGTTTTGTTTTGTTCTGTTTGAGCACTTCCTTACTTTCTGGTACTTCAGATCTCCCAAGCTCATCTTGTATTTTTCCTCTCAAGTCCTAGAACAAGCCGTTTCTCCAAAGAGTCCTGTTTTTATTAGACAATGGTACTAAAAAGCAAGATTTAGGAATTAGGTTTGCTTGTTGCTACTAGGGGCCAATTGCTTTTGGAGTCTTACTGATAATAAAGAAAGGAAAATATGTGTATATGTAAACTATGATAGATGTATATATCTATATAATATTTTCATATGTAACAATCTCTTTCTATATTCAGGTAAACATGAGTTCTAATGATGTTTCCAACTATTTGTCTTTTTATCTCAAGAATCATTTTAATCTCATCTCCTTGTTTATCGGTGTATTCTCATTATAATTGTGGGAAATTTGGCTCCCACCATCTATCATGGACATTCTTAATTGTTCAATTCCAGTATACATATGTAGTAATACTGAAAGTAGTGTGTATCCCTGTAGGAAACAACTGTGTCAACTACAGTTCTGTGCTTGTGAAGTCTCTTGCTTTTAGTCGTACATTCTCTCATTTCCAGAGTTACTTAGGTCAGCAATTTTTTCTACATTCCCTTTAGTAAGGTTGTTTCATACTCTTTTAAAACATATTGATCATGCAGTCACAGTCTGCATTAATTTATAGAATCCCCAAACCTTCTAAAATATAAATTTGTATATATTAAGTTTCATTCTTTTTGCTGTAAAGTTCTATGGGTTTTGATAAATGCCTAATGTCACTTATCCTGCATCATGGTATCATACACCATGATTCCACAGCCCTAAGAAGTCTCCTGCACTCTACCTATTCAATCCGCAGTACCTCCAACCTACTGGCAATTGCTGATTGTTTAATCCTCTATATATTTCATCTTATACAAAATATCATATAATTGGAATCATACAGAATATAGCCAATGGCTTCTTTTACTTGGCAAGATGTATTGAAGGTACATCAATGTCTTTTGGTTACCTGACAGCTCATTTATTTTTTATTATAGAGTAATATTCAATTACATAGATGTACCACCGTTTGTTTATTCATTCACCTATTGAAGGACATCTTGGTTGCTTGCAATTTTTGATGTTTATAAGTGAAACTAATATGGACACCGACATGCAGATTCTGTCTGAATGTAAGTTTTCAAATCTACTGAACAGAAATCTTGAAATGTGGTTGCTGGAATGTGTAGTAAAACTG